>NC_000007.14:90688597-90991627 GCF_000001405.40 Homo sapiens | reverse complement strand
TGAGCAGTGTGCAGAACATGCTGGGAACAAGCAAGGAAGGGAATCTGGCTTCATAACCCACCACCCCTACCCGCTGAACAGACCTGAGCTGAAGTATTATCTTGCTCCAGGGAGTGATTTTCTTTTTCTGTTCTTACCCTTCATTTCTCTTCTGGTCACCCTTCCCTTGATTTGTGTCACTGTACTGATTTCTCCCCTGGTCTAGCCCTCCAATCCCCCAAAACATGAACATCCCCTACAAGGTAGGCAGTGGTCCACTGCATTTCCCTCTACCTTCTTATGATTCAAGAACTAATACGATGTGGGAACCAAGATTGTCTCTTTTGGGTGAATGGCTCCTTGATTCCCATGCATCTCCCTGATTTTGTTGTGTATGAGTTATATACTGGACATGTCCATCTGAGGTCACCGCCGCTATCACATAAAGTCCAGTACCTTGAGTTCTCTTCTTCCTCTCCCTCCAGTGGTACTCCTTTTCAATGTTCCCATTATTTTCAATGACATCGTTGATCACTTAATTCCCCAAATTTGAAGCTTTTAAGTTATCTTTGACTCTTTTTCTCATCATTTATATCCAAGATGTGTAACAATCGTTTTGCAACATCTTTCTGACCTGGTTTCCTGGAAGCTATTCAAATGTAGCTCAGCTGACCATATTCTCGAAGCAAGTAGGGGCTATGTTTGTTGGTTTACCACCATAGTCACAGTGACTGTCACATAAAGTGCCTAATAATCTTGCTGAATGAATGAATAATTAAATGTGGTAAAAATATGCAATGATTACCGTAGCATAAAAACTGCAAGCAAATTATCTAGTAATACAGAAATGTTGGAGTTTCTCTATTTGGGCACATTTGTAAGATATTATAGTATAATTAAAATAACATTTTCAATTACATATTAATGGCTTGGAAATGGCTCTCTATTTCCTGTTAAAGAGAAGCTAAACACAAAACCATAAATTTATCATGAACTCAATTGTGAAAATCTAGAAAAGGGAATACAAAAATGTTTAATGTTGGTTATATCTCAGTGGTGATTTTTTTCTCATACGTTTCTTTTACTTATATACAGTTGATTCTCTGAAAAAGATTTTTCGCCATGTAAATGACTATGCCTATAGATGAAGCTTGAAGGAAACAAGTACAAATTAAGAGGTACTTGTTCCAGGGTGGGAGGTAGAGTATTATAATCTATTGTCCCTATTTGTTTTTCTAAAATTGATTTAAAAATTGTAGCTTAATATTTTCAATGTTCTTCACCCTAACAGGTGTTGTTTAATTCTCTACTTCTGCCAGTCTTTATACAGTTGAATTTATCATTTTATCCACATTGTATATTTCTTTTCTAGAGACGGGGTCTCACTCTGTCACGCAGGCTGGAGTGCAGTGGCACAATCATAGCTCACTGCAGCCTTGAACTCCTGGGCTAAGTGATCCTCCCACCTCAACTTTCCAAGTAGCTGGGACCATAGGCACATACTACCACACTGTACTGTATTATTTTTGTTAAAATGCTCTTAACATTACTCTCCTGTTATACTGTTTTATTACATTATGGATAAAATGAGATTTAAAAATACTAAACTATCAAAGTGCAGTCTTGAACATTCAACCTCACCTTCCACCCACTCCTATACCACTGCCTGATGTCTCCTTTTCCCTCTTATTTTCACTTCAAAATCTTATACTTTCTTTAGTGCTTAATACAAATTTTCTTAGCAATTTTTCTTTAAACACCCATAATTTATACATAATACAGTAACATCAAGCATTTAAAAAAATTAAAAATGGTTACAGCTACAAGACAATATTGAAATCACTTAGTTTAACTTCCTCCTTTACAGATGCAGAAACTACTGTCCAATTTGAAAAGGTGGCTTGCTGGGGGTAGTGGGTGAGGGCGGGTAGAAAACAAAAACCTTGGATTAGAGCACAACATTTAACTCTTAGCGTTCAGTATTTTAACTAATATAGAATCCACCGTTATTGCTGGGTCTCACATCTGCTGACCAATTGCTCAGCAATTATTCATGATTCCATTCCTGAAGTATGCCTTGCCCACCTGCCTTGATTTTCATGGTCATTACTACAGGCTGACACCATGACACATAATTCTTTTATGTCTTCATTGTACCTAGTGCTACAGAGACTACAGGCTGACACCATGACACATAATTCTTTTATGTCTTCATTGTACCTAGTGCTACAGAGTAACTGCTGAAGTAGTATGGCAGAAATAACCTAAAGCAAATCCAGTAATGGTAATGATGATACAAATCTGTGACAGCAATATTCCATCCTAACCATGTGGCTGTTATAATACATCCACTTGAATGGTAATAACCATCAAGGAGGTGATATCAGCTTTCCCTTACATTCTACAAGGCTTCCCTAACCAATCATGAAGCTGCAGGATTATGGTTCCAGTTCTAAAGACCCTGGAATCGGAGCCATGTGGAGGAAACAAGGACAGGAACTGAATCTGCAAACTATACCTCCACAGTCAGTTTAATGCAAAGCACAGCGGCTTAAGGAATAATCCAACTCAAAAGCCAGACTGAGTACTATAGTAGCTTTCAAAGTTGCATGTGGCTCATTACACACACACACACACACACACACACTCACACACAAACACACTCAAATTCTGAATGGCATATATTGATGAAGAGGACTATTTTAACAATTGTACCAGTCAAATAATGCACAATAGTTTAACAACCAGTGGATGAAATTTCATTATAAGCCAGGAGACCCAGGAGACAAGGAAAGGTGTGATTTGTCAGGGTTATCAACGTTCAAATGCAGAGAGAAAAAGAACAGATCTGAAAAACAGAATCATTCCAGCTCCTCTGTCATGACTGTCACACAATGGGCCATGAGCCACAGAGACCCAGAAGCATCTGCCAAAGGTTTCAGACAGCTGTGCAAGCATTCCCTGCCATTTGTTCAGCTGTTTTGAAGTGAGAGAGAAACATATTCCCAGGGTTGTACAAGTACCCTTCTTTTTCAATTCAGAATAATATGTTTAGAATACAAATTTTTTATTAGTTGTGATTTTGTCACTCTGAATATATATTCACCTGGATGAATGCATTTGCTGCTTATTTTGCAACTAATGGAGGTGAATAGAATACACCATGCCACATTAAAAACTGGGTAATGCTAAAGAAGTGAAAATAAATACTCTTTCCACCTAAGAGCAGAGTTACTGCTTGGAGAATTAGGTGCCTATTTACCTGCCAATTCAAAATGTCTTGAATATAATTCATCAAAATTCCATCATCTTCCTTCCTTTCTTGCATGTATCACAATGTCAAGGAAAATGATTTAACAGTGAAATTTCAGATTGTAGCATATCCCAGCTCACCTTATATACATATGAACATGGTTATTATGTTCCAGAAATGAATTCACTGAACTTGTTAAAATTGTGAACTGCTCCCTTCAACCAAAGGAAGAAAAAAAGAGAATAGGGAAAAAAGAACCTTAGAAAGAAAAACATAAAGACTTTTACTAACCGATCTTTATTTCCTTTCACATATTTTATAAAGACTCAGTGTGTGGGAGCTAATTATATTAGCTGTCTTGGGTAACAAGCTATTAATTTTGTGCTTCAAAGTTATTAACTACCTTTCTATGTACAGTTCACAGGCAAATGAATGAACTTAATCCTTGTATTAAAACACAAAACAAACCAAATAATCCCATGTTTCATGACTTTACAAAGTTGATTATCTCCTTGGCAATGCTTTACCAGAGGCCAGATATACAATTGCCACTTTAGAAAAGAGTCTCTGGCAGTTTATACTACAGGCCTGTTAAAGTGGATCTAATTACTATTTAATAGTCATTCCTCCCAAGATTAGACATAAAAGGTCACAGAGGAAAAGCATTTTTTTTTTCTCAGTGATTTAACCATACTGGGTTTATAAAATTTCCTCCTCCAAGGATCACACCAGTCTTGAGAGAGTCTACTTGTGTGATAATATAGCTAATATTTGCAAATTTAAACAATTCAGTGGAGAAAATAAAATATTTAAGTTGATAACATTTAATGTCAAAAGAATTCTTTAGATTTCTCTTTATCTGGCTTTGTCTAATTCTTCAGGGCAAAACATAGCATCATTTAATTCTACAGCAGTAATTTTATATAGATGATGATCTTCATTTCCTAATTATCAAAGGACATTTTATTGTAAGAGGCATTAGACATGTAAAATAACTACAGTAAATGAAAGAATTATTGCCATAAATCATGATGCTTATCTGCATTTGAGGGTCTCTGTACTCTAACAAGAGCAATGGTAGTTTAGTGTATCAATAATCCCATGGGAAATTTAAAATGATTTATTTATCTGACTTATTAAAAGCCTAGTCATAGCTCAAAGGTCTCTGAATACCCATAAAATTGGGAAACTAATGCCATAAAATTAAAAAATAATAGCAAAAATTTCATACAAGAAATAATCCAACAAGATATTACCCAACAGAAATTACTTCTGTTAAACAAAGATTTCAAATGAAAGCTTTGACAAAGCTATGTCAATAAATTATGCTTTTATAAAACTCACCTTTTTGTTCTGTTGCTGTATAATATATCTCAGTTATATAACAATTTCTTTTCCTTTATAATTCAACCTAAAGTAATATGTAAGTTGAGCTCTTTCTTTTCAGTATAATTCCCTTTTTAAAGTTTTCTGCTTTCAAATACAGTACAGTAATAATTCTACCATAAATCAGTAATTTGACAAGTTACATTATTGTTGTTCAACAGCTATCAGAGGCTGAAAAGTGGAGTCTAAAGTTCAGAAAATTATCAGAATATAATTTGGTTATACTATTATTATCATTATACATGAGCTTTATGTAAATAAAAATGCTAAATATTTGGAGATATGTCTTTGCATAAAAATTTATATAAACTACAGCCCATTAAAGTTCTCTCTTGGCCATTTTTGTCAATACAAAATATATGGAACAGTTTATATTTTTAAGAAACTTATTGTGAAAAAGTTATTTAAAATAATTGAATAAAAGTAAAGTCTTGAGTAGAACAAAAAACCAAACATGTTTATACAAACTGTACATTTATGCTAACAGCCATAAAATTGAATAATTTAATCGTGGATAGGAAAGTACAATTTTGTATTATTTCCATAGACTCAGTACAATCTCAATAAAGTGAATAAGAGATTTTCTTGGGAGTAGGTTTCATGAGTTTAAATGAAGGGATGGATATGAACAAATAGTCTACATCTATAAAAATTAAATTTTATTGAAATAAGGACTTCTTATTCTAATAATTATTCTTAACTAACAGGATGATTGTGCAATGAAAGTTTCTGGCAGCATTTTATTATAATGAAAAACTGAAAACAAGCTATCAATATGGGGCTGGTTAAGTAAATAATGTCTCATCCATATAATGAAACACTTCCCAGTCATTAAGAATGATAGGTTTCTGAATTTATTTTTCATTGAAAGGTGTTAATTACAAATTGTTTAGTGGAAATAGCTGGTTCCAAAAGAATATACAAGATATGATTCAATTTTTTCAAATACATATAGAAAAACTCTATAGAAGATATATGTCCAAATACTAGATGTGGTTTTCTCTGGGTAGTAGGACAAAGGGTGATTTTTCAGCTTTTTTTCATTTTGACACTGTAGGAATTTTCCATTATAAAAATACACTATTTTTATAATCATGTTAACATTTGTGTGTGGGAATTTATACATATTGAATAAAATAAAATTGAAAGGAAGTGGATACAGATGGTTTCTGAAAGAACAAAACCAACAGGACAACACTTTGAGGATGGTTTCTATGTTAGGGACTTTGCTGATTGTCCATTTGTTGTTAGCACACAGCGACTCACAGGGATATAGGCTACTGCATAGAGGAATCACATGTGCTTTAATTTCCTAGTTTCCAGTCTTCTTTTCTTACCATTTTATTGCTGACATTAAGGGAATACAATAGTGATGGGGCCTCAGTTTGTATCGCTACGTTCTACTGCAGATTGTATTCTTAATATGATAGCTGTATTTAAACGTTGCGCTTACTTAATTTGTCTAACTCTGATTTCATGTTTTAAATTATAGGTTTATATGAATATTAGCTCTACTGGAAGCTCTACTGAATATCTGGCATAAAATGATGTAATTAAAATAACAACGATTTGTATATATGTAAAGTATTTACTATATGCCAAGCAGAGTCCTAAAAGAACTATATTAGTCAATTATTCTTCAAAGCCACCTATGAAGAAGGTGCTGTTATTATCCCTCATTTCACCCATGAGAAAACTAAAGCTCAGAGAACTAATAAGCCCCTTGCTTAAAGTCCCATGGCTAAAACATGACAGAGAAGGGTGATAAGCCCAGATAGTCTGGCTCCAGAACACTTACATTTTACACATTTTCAAAAGTTTAAATAAGCTTTTAATTTTAGAATAGTTTTAGATTTACAGGAAAGTTACAAAACATAATACAGAGAGCTCATGTATACCACTCGCCCAGTTTCTCTCTCTAATTAAAATCTTACATAATATGGTACAACTGACACAGCTAAGAAATTCACATTGGTATATTGATATTAACAACATACTTAATAATGTTTTTCCTTTCTAGTATTTCATCCAGGAGACCACATAACATTGACTTGTCATGTCTCCCCAGTCTCCTGTGGTTTATGCCAGTTTCCCGAACTTTCCTTGTTTTTGATGACCTTGACAGTTTTGAAGACTACCAGTCATGTATTTTGTAGAATGTCTGTCAGTTTTGGCTTGTGTGATATATTTTTTGTGATTTAACTGGGGCTATGGTTTGGGGAGGAAGACCACAGAGGTGAGGTGCCATTATCAACACATCATATCAAGGGTACAGCCCACTAACATGACTTATCTTTGATGATGATAGCCTTGAAAACCTGACGGAAGTACTGTTTAACTGGTGTCTCCACTGTAAAGTCACCATCTTCCCACTCTCCCTGCTCTGCTTTATGGAAGAAAGTTATCAAAGCTCACAGTCAAGGGGGACGGGGGAGTTAAGCTCCACCTACATGATGGGGAGGGAGTATCTATATAGCAATTATTTGGAATTATTCTGTCAGAACCTTCATTTTTAACCCATTACTTTCTCTATATTGCCTCTCCCACCCCATTCCTTCTTACCACTTTGACATGTTATTCACGTACAGTAGTATAAAAACATAATTCTTAACTGATTTCCTGCTTTTTCAAAGGTCCAAAATATGTTAGAACCAAATGTGACAACAAATTTTGTTTTAAATTATTTTTCCACAGACTGCTGTAGAATTTGTCACTAAGTGACTAATTAGAAACCAATTTTTCTTAGAAATACTCTGTAAAGGACTTACCAGAAATATTCGTTCAAGTTGATCCTGAATGTCTTTCATTCCTGGAAAAGCAGCAACTCCTTGGATCATTTCAACAAAGATGCAACCTACTCCCCTAGAGAGAGAAGAAAGAATCGTTACAAAACTTCAATATATTCTGCTTAGGAAAACTAAATCTGGAATTAGAATATCCACTCCTACAGAAGAGAAGCGGTGAGTAAACTGTTTCCTTTTTCCCCTCTAACTTTTATTTTAGATTCAGGGGTACACGTGCAGGTTTGTTACATGGGTATATTATGTGATTCTGAGGTCTCAGGTATGAATGATCCCATCATCCAGGTACTGAACGTAGTACCCAATAGTTTGTTAACCCTTGCCTCCCTTCCTTCCTCCTCCTTCTAGTAGTCTCTAGTGTCTATTGTTGCTTTTTATGTTGTGAGTACCTGATGTTTAGCTCCCACTTATGAATGACAACATGCAGTATTTGGTTTCCTGTTCCTGTGTTAATTCACTTAGCATAATGGCCTCCAGCTGCATCCATGTTGCTGCAAACAACACTATTTCATTCTTTTTTTTTTTTTTTGAGATGGAGTCTTGCTCTGTCCCCCAGGCTGGAGTGCAGTGGCGCGATCTCTGCTCACTGCAAGCTCTACCTCCTGGGTTCACGCCATTCTCCTGTCTCAGCCTCCCGAGTAGCTGGGACTACAGGTGCCTGCCACCATGCCTGGCTAATTTTTTTGTATTTTTAGTAGAGACGGGGTTTCACCGTGTTAGCCAGGATGGTCGCGATCTCCTGACCTTGTGATCCGCCCGTCTCGGCCTCCCAAAGTGCTGGGACTACAGGCATGAGCCACCGCACATGGCCAATACTATTTCATTCTTTTTTTATGGCTGCATAGTATTCCATGGTATGTATGTACCACATTTTCTTTCTCTAGTCCATTGTTGATGGGCACCTAGGTTGAGTCCATCTCATTGTTATTGTGAATAGTGCTGTGGTGAATACGTGAGTATGTGTATCTTTTTTTTAGAATGATTTGTTTTCTTTCAGATATATACCCAGTTATGAGATTGCTGGGTTGTATGACAGTTCTGTTTTAAGATCTTTGAGAAATCTCCAAACTGCTTTCCATGGTGGCTGAACTAATTTATTATACATTCTCATGAACAGTGTATGAGCATTCCCTTTTCTCTGTAGCCTTGCCAGCATCTGTTGTATTTTGACTTTTTAATAATAACCATTCTGACTGGTGTGAGGTAGTATCTCATTGTGGTTTTGATTTGCATTTCTCTGATGATTAGTGATGCAGAGCATTTTTTAGTATGTTTGTTGGCTGCTCGTATGTCTTCTTTTGAGAAATGCCTGTTCATGTCTTTTGCCCATTTTTAATGGAGTTACTTGATAAGCAGTATTTTTAATGAGCACCATGAGCTATCTAGGTGACGTACACCTAGATCCCATAACCTACCCACTCCCCCTGCCCCCATCTACTGCCCTGAAAGAACTCTAAATAGATGCAACTATACTGGGCTCAGAAAAGAGTGGAAACCAATAAAATAGCACATTCTAGTGCTATTACTTATAGAATCCAGTTAAGTCCTTAGCCTGATGTATAAGAGTCCTCAAGTCATGTTCAAGTATCCTTTTCCAATTATATTTCACAAACTTATAAAGTATTGTAGTCTCTAGACATTCAGTGGTTCTCAATCCTCTTTGCATTAGAATCATCTGGAGAAGGTTAAGAAACTGCATATCTCTGACCACAAACCCCAGAGATCCTGTTTCATTTTATCTAGGTTGGAGCCCAGGCATCCACATGGGCTGCTCAGATGATTCAGGGCAGCTACAGTGAGAATCGCTGAGCCAGACTGATCTACCTGAGTGCCAGGCATAAAACTGTACCATTTGGCTCAAATTGCTTCACTATCTAGAGTACCCTCCTTCTTCGCCTATTTACTCTTGATAGCAAATTCCAACTCAACCACTATAATCCTGTTTAAATGCATCTCCTCTGTGATGCCTTTCATGGATCTTTCAGCAGACAGAATTGCTCCCCTTATGAGCTTATGGATTACTCTATGAGCCATCTACCATGCTCGACATTCTTTCGCAGCTTGACCTGCCATGCTCACAGTTCCCACCTAGCAAGTTAGTCCAGTAAATCAAAAGACCTTGCCTCCCAGACCACTGCAGCTTGCACCAAGCCCAACAGGAATAACCAATCCATAGTATGGACAGACAGCCAATTAGATACTTCTGCCGGGACTCTGGAGAATGGGGCAGTATGGTAAGAAACTAGCATATGTAGATGGCTAAGTCACATTAGTGTCAGGGAAGTAGCATGAATGGCTACACATTCCTGCAGATGAAGTCCCCTGAAATGACTTGGTTCTTGACTTCTGGAGGCTTAGATGTTCAGATGATCCAGTGTTTTGTTTTGTTTTGTTTTGTTTTGTTTCTAGAACTCTCTACCTCCTGGAAATTCTCCAGATTTTTAACATTGGCTCTATTTGAATGGGTTTATGTTTCTTGCAAGTATTCTAATAAAACCACGAACATATTGGGACACTTCTTCCACTCCTGCACCCCCATACTCAATTTAGGGCAAGCAAACACTTGTGTCTTTAATTTACTTCATAAACCTAGGGGTTAAGACCAAGTGACCTACTTCTCTAAAGCTACTCCAGTTGTTATCACAATTGTATATAAACAATGTTTTGAATTAAAGAAGTAATGTATTTGCAGAAATTGCTTCCCTATTGTACCACATGATTCTTATTCAAAGTAAACACCAATAGTATACAGTGTTATAATGACTAAAAACAAACAAATGCCATTTTATATCATAGGATGTAATTTTATTTAAGTAGTAAAGAACTAATTTCAAACCAGTGTTCTAGGTAGATGGGTTTTTACACAAGTTGTTTTCATTTTAGATTTGAGAGACAACATAGGTATCAAGAGAATTATTTTATTAAGATATTAGAATGCAATGATGTGCTTATAAATATTAGGGCTTCAGATGTCTGGTTAAGTCTACTTAAATTTTTAGTACGGTGGCTTTCCAAATTTTTCTGTCAGGAATTCTTTTCTAAGACTATTTTCTTCTTATTTTAGTTTATACAATAAAATACCTTGGATCTTAAATAGCTACCTGCACCTTCCTTTTTTACACTCAGTGTATCCTCTCTGCTCTCTACTTTTTGGCCTTCCTTTTTCCCACCATAAGCTGCAGTTCTGAGTGTGAAGAGCCTCAGCAGAAGCCATAGCCACCCCCATTATGTACACAGCTAGGCTGGCTAGAAAAATAACTATTACATTGCCAGAACTACTTATAGAATTTATTTTAGCACTACTTGTGTTTAGTCTATATCATCTCCATAATATGTTACTTAGAATGATTAAAAGACAAATCTATTCTATGCTGCAATTCTATTCAGTTGGAATGAAATGATGTAGCATTTTTATAAGCTCTTATCTGCTTAGCTGGCTAAGACTTGGATTTTCATTTCTAGTGGATGTTTCCTATGACGTCATCTTTTTCAAACATGCTCGAGGATGTACTAAAGAAGCTGAGAGAATTATACTTAAAGGACTCACAACAAGAGATAAAATGTACAAGAAAATTAAAAAGTATGTGTATAAAACATATCAACATATGAATATAACAGAATTCCTTATTACTGGACTGCCTTATTGCCACACAGCAATAAGAGCTCTTCAATTTAATATGAAGAAACTAGTGTCTGCTTTCCCCCCACCTCTTTCTACCCTCCATTAGCCCCATGCTCCCTCTCTCAATGGATTAAATTGACTGCACTGAATGGTTTACTGAGAAAAAAAATTCATCTGCTTAAGCACTATAATTTATGATATATAATCTTATATCAGGAAATGTCTCCTTTGTTCCTTCTTTTGAGAATTTGAATAATTATGTAATTATCACCCACTTAGTCTAAATTTTTCAAGAATAAGAACTGGTCACAAAAGCTTACAATCAAAGGTGTCACAGGATGCAGTATGCTCAAACTCTTATTTTAGGATTAGTTACCCAGTAAGGTAATACATAAACACCCACCTATGCTCACACATTTTTCTATTTTTTGAACTCAACATTTCCCAATTTAATTTATGTCTCAGGTATATGAATGATTTTTTTCATCACAATTCAAAACAAAATTTTAAGCAGAATTGACAATTTGTTGTCAGTACAAGCAGAGACAGACAATCTTTTAGGATTGAAACTTACATAATTTGGGAGTTTTTGTTATTAAAAAGATTATAAAATTATAACTAAAAAAATGGCTATAGAAGTGCATTTAAAATGAGCAAATCAGTCAAAAGCAATCACAAAATTTTAAAAGGTAACAAATGCAACAAACAGTCTGACATTCAGGAAAACAAAGTAAAATTAACTATCTGACATTTATCATTATCTGACAAATTTCTCTAATACATTTATTTCTATAATTTGGCTGTATAATCTTCAATTAAGTCTTCTTATGACAATTCTACAGTAACATTTTCTGTAACGAGAATGTAGAGATAATTTAGACTTTCCTCTAGCATGACGATGAACATTGGTTTGGGGGTATGTCTAATAGTTTAGAATTTTTTTCTCTGCTTCACTTCTCATTGTTCGTAAGGTCGGTAAACTTTTAGGACTGTTGTTAATTTTGGGAAAACTTCTATCAACTTTCTGTTTAGTAGATCTATATGGTATAAACACAGTAATTATAACGTATTCCATTTTACACAGTTCCTTGAGCATGAGAGGACATGCTTACCTCAGAGTGTAGGGTTAGGAAGGATGCTTAACGCCTGAAAGGGCTAGAAAAGTTGAAGCTGGTTGGATTATGGAGTGATGGCACTGGGAATGGAAATATTCCAGGTTGAGAAAACAGAGTCTAGTAAACTGAAGAATCTTTAGAGAGCTAACTGCTGTTGTTATGGCTCTATGTGGACAATAGAAGAAAAGTCTAAAAAGAGAGCAGAAGTCCATATTCCATTCTAAGAATGGCTTCTACATTTTTAAATGGTTGAAAAATATCGAAAGAAGAATATTTGGTGACATACGAACATTACCTGAAATTCTAATTTCAATATCTATGAATAAGCTTTAATGAAAAACAACCACACTCATTCATTTAGGTACCATGTATGGCTGCTTTCTCATCGAAATGACAAAGATAAGTAGTTGCTACAGAAACCACATGTCCTGCAAAACCTACATTTTTTACCATCAGGCCCTTTACAAAGTTTGTGAAATCTTGACCTATGTTATGCTCCACTTGCAAAAAAACACAATAATAGAAAAAGTCATACTAATCAGTTATGGAAAAACAAAGAAAAGAAAGTATAATATATCATGATTATTTGTAAATAATAGAAATAATCTCTTAAATATGATCTGTTTTTTCACTACTGTCTTTAGCAGTTTTCCTGTAATAAAATATGCCTTAGAAGTTTCCTGCATTTTGTCAAAAATTAGTAGATATTCTAAACTTGATTGAAGATATTTTAATCTCTAAAGTATTTTGAACTGAGAAATAAATTAGGAGAAAATATGTGGAGTGATTTTTTTAATAAGGTGCTATCTAACTTTTTCCCAAAATAGATAATTTTGTGAGCTGATATGCATCATGGGAGGGAGAAGAGGGATAGGTTATTTTACTAACTTAAAGTTTTTATTTTATATTTAGAAGACAGGGAAGCATTATATCATGCTTGGAAGTACTACCTTTTATTTTATAAACATTAGAAAATTTTACCTATTAAATTTAATTTTATAAACATAAGGGGTTTCCAAAATTATGCTGGGTTCTATCCTAATTTCAGAGGATTTTCTTTCCACCTGTTTTCTTTCTACTCATACCCTACATACGTGCCCCTATATCGACAAAAGGAGAGGAATCCAATTTTTAAAATTATCCCTTGAACTTTTTTCTTCCTTAAAATCAACAGTAGAGGCTCGAGGCAGTGAAGCCTCCGCATGCTGTGCGGCTGACCTCTATCTCCAAATTTACATCATGTCTGTATCCACATTAGATTTCCTCTGCTCCAGCCATGCTGTTCCACTGTCCTCTCCTAAAACTTGCCACACTCTTTCCCATCCCAAGATCTCTGCACGGATTGTTGTTCCCTTTGCCCTCTCTGTACCTGGTTAATTGCTTTTTGCTATTCAGAGGTCAGTGCAAATAGCTCCACTTAGAAATGTCTTTCCCAGCGACCACCTATAAGGCAGTTCCTCCTTACAGCCCCAGCCCCAGTGTCTCACCCTATTTTTCCTAGTTTGTCCCCTTTATAACACTTAAAAATGTTAAATTGTGTTTGGCTTTTGGGGGTGTGTCTCCTCTAGATGGAACATCTACAAGATCGGGACAAGGTTGTGGACATCACCTTATTCCCAGGACATAGCAGAGTGTCAGGCACATAATAAGGGCTCAAAAATATTTGCTGAATGAATCGAAAGCAACACGACCCTCCTTCCCCCTGGCTATTCTGTGTGAGCTCAGCTTAGTGACTTGTTTCCAAAGAGTACAGCATGGAAGTAGGAGTGGAGAGGGAGTGTGGATGCAAATTTACAATGGAGAAAACTGGCAAACACTATCTCAGCCATGTGACAAAGGTTAACATCATGAGTGACATGTCATGATTTCCCGTAAGACTGATGTTTATGGTCTTTTAAAAAAAATAAACATAGAAATTGATCTCCTAGTCTTAAAGCTTGAAACATATTTGTCTTATCTGAGTTCGTTTCTCAGGAAACCAACCCTCAGAACTGACAGCATTATGGAACTGAAACTCCTCTTCCTTATTCCTCCCTAATTCCTCTTTCCCCGCATGTAGCTACATTCCTTCCGCATTATATAAACCCCCAATTTTAGTCAGCTGGGGAGATGGGTTTGAGACTTTTCTCTTGTCTCTTCAGCTGCAGCACCCAAATAAAGGCTTCTTCCCTGGCAAAACTCATTGTCTCAGTCATTGGCTTTCTGTGCAGCAGGCAAATGGAACCTAGGCTGAACCCCCAGTGTTTTGATAATGGTGCCAAGAACACTCAAGGGAAAATGACAAGCTCTTCAAGAAATGCTGCTGGGAAAATTGGATATTCTTATCCGGAAGAACAAAACTAGATTCCCACGCTTCACCTTAGACAAAATCACCTCAAAATGAATTAAAGACTTAAACATAAGGCCCAAAACGGTAAAACTACTAGAAGAAAACACAGGACATTGATCTGGGAAACGATTTCATGAATAAGACATCAAAAGCACAGGCAACAAAAGTAAAAATAAACAAATGGGATTATATCAAACCAAAAGCTTCTACACTAAAAGCTTCTGTACAGATGGGAGATAAGTCTCAAATCCATCTCCCCAACCGACTTAAATTGAGTTTTTATATAGTGGGGTAGGAATGTAGCTACACGCAGGAAAACAGAGTGAAACAATCAACAGAGTGAAAGAACAACCCACAAAATGAGAGTAAATATTTGCAAACTACTTGTATGACAATAGATTAACATCTAGGATATATAAGGAACTCAAACTTCTCAACAATGATAAAACTATCAATCTTATTTAAAAATGGGCCGATGAGGACAGGTGCCATGGTTGATTACCTGTAATCCCAGCAGTTTGGAAGCTGAGGTGGGAGAATCACTTGAGGCTAGGGAGTTCAAGACCAATCTGGGTAACACAGCAAGACTGTCTCCACAAAAAGTTAAAAAAAAAAATTTGCCAGGCATGGTGGGACTGCACCTGTAGTAGTCTCAGCTACTGGGGAGGCTGAGGTGGGAGGACTGCTGGAACCCAGGAGATTGAAGCTGCAATGAGCTATGATTGCACTACTGCACTCCACCCTAAGTGACAGAGAAGGACCCTGTCTCTTTAAAAGAAAAAAAAGCGGGGGGACAAATGATCTGAACAGACATTTTCCAAAAGAAGACACACAAATGGCCAAGAAACATGAAAAAGTGCTCAACATCACTAAACATCAGGGAAATTCTCATCAAAATCACAATAAGACATTTCACTCCAATTATGATGGCCATTAAGAAAAAGATAAAAAATAACAAATGCTGGCAAGGATGTGGAGAAAAGGGAACTCTTATATACTGTTAGTGGGAATGTTCTATGGAGAACAGTATGGAGGTTTCTCAAAAAACTACAAATAGAACTACCATATGAGCTAGCCATCCCACTACTGGGAATTTATCCAAAGGAAAAGAAATCAGTATATTGAAGAGACATTTGCACCCCATGTTCACTGCAGAACTATTCACAATAGCTAAGATAGGAAATGAAGCTAGGTGTTCAACAACAGATGAATGGATGAAGAAAATATGGTCTACAAGCACAATGAATACTATTCAGCCATAAAAAAAGAATGAAATCTTGTCTTTTGTGACAACATAGATGGAAATGGAGGGCATTATCTTAAGTGAAATAAGCCAGGGACAGAAAGTTAAACACCGCATGTTCTCACTCATATACGGAAGCTAAAAAAAGTCAATGTCATAGAAGTAAAAAGTAGAACAGAAGGTACTAGAGGCTGGTAAGGGTAGTGAAGGAAAGTATAGGGGGAGATTTGCTAAAAGACACAAAATTACAGCCAGAAGGAAGGAATAAGTTCTAGTGTCTTATACCAATGTAGGATGACTATAGTTAAGAAAATAAGACTATATTATATGTAACATATACTATATATATTATTAAGACTATAACAATAATACTATACTATATAGTTTCAAATGGCTAGAAGGAAGATATTGAATGTTTCCAACACAAAGAAATGATAAATGTTTTTATATGAAGGATGGGCTAATTACCCTGATCTGATCACTATACATTATATGTATCAAAACATCACTATGTACCCAATGAAAATGTAAATTATTGTCAATTTTTAAAAATTAAATTAAAAATTTAATATGAAAGTATTTGAAGAAATATATATAATATACTCTATGGCAAAGGAATTCAAGGTGAAAAGATTTATTGAAACTACTATATTTGGGGCAAGGGTAGGGTGGAGTGTGTAATACATAGAAAAAAATGTAATTTACAGGGAAGGAGTAAGAACTTTCCTCCCTTAGAAAAGGGAAAGACAAGTTCAGGGCTACTTCTGTGGGAAGGTCTTCTGATCTCTCAGGCTATGTTAGGTCCCCTAACTCTGTGCTCTCCATGATACTTTCTACAACTGCAATTTATTTATTTACTTGTAAATGTATTAGCCACCATTACCTTTCTCAGAACAAAGATTTGGTCTTTTGCTTTTAAAAATATAGCCCAAATGATTGATAGGGGTTATGGCGATATGGCAACATTACCAGACCTGAATGAAATAGGGTTAGGTCAAAAAGGCACCAGCTAATATGCCTTGTAATGTATGTATCTGTTCATTAAAGTCCTGTTGGGATTTTATGGTGTAGGATAACTTTCTATCTTTCAACTAAATATGGATTAATTACATCCATCAGCATGCATAATAAAAAAATCTGCATTTGATGCATATTTTCAAGGGACTATACTCAGTCAATTTTCTCAAAAAGATATTGTTAACTAAATGGTAATTAACTCAATAAATAATTATATCACATGAGGAAGCAGAATAAGACATAAAGATTATTATTTCTCTAGTTGACATTAATCTAATTTTGGTTAGATTAAGATATCAAAAAAATAAAACATTGTTCTCCTTCTTCCCTAATTCTCAAGGCAAAAGTTTGTTTCGGGAAGTCAGAGACCCAGAACAGAGGGACTGGCTGAAGCCACGGCAGAAGAACATAAATTGTGAAGATTTCATGGACATTTATTAGTTACCCAAATTAATACTTTTATAATTTCTTATGCCTGTCTTAATCTCTTAATCCTGTAATCTTCATAAGCTGAGGATGTATGTCGCCTCAGGACCCTGTGATGATTGCGTTAACTGTACAAATTGTTTGTAAAACATGTGTGTTTGAACAATATGAAATCAGGGCACCCTGAAAAAAAACAGAATAACAGCAATTTTCAGGGAACAAGGAAAGATAACCATAAGGTCTAACTGCCTGTGGGGTCAGGCAGAATAGAGCCATATTTTCCTTCTCGTAGAAAGCCTATAGATGGTTATGTGAATAGGAGAAGTATCACTGAATTCTTTTCCCAGAAAGAAATATTAATAATTGATACCCTAGCGAAGGAATGCATTCCTGGGGGGAGGTCTATAGACGGCTGCTCTGGGAGTGTCTGTCTTACGAGGTTGAGATAAGGACTGAAATATGCCCTGGTCTCCTGCAGTACCCTCAGGCTTACTAGGATTGGGAAATTCCAGCCTGGTGAATTCTAGTCAGACCGGTTGTCTGCTCTCGAACCCTGTTTCCTGTTAAGATGTTTTTCAAGACAATGCGTGCACAGTGGGACACAGACCCTCATCAGTAATTCTAATTTTGCCCTTGCCTTGTGATCTTTCATTGCCCTTTGAAGCATGTGATCTCTGTGACTTACTCCCTGTAAGTACACCCCCTCTCCTTTCAAAATCCCTAAAAAAAATTGCTGGTTTTGCGGCTCGAGGTCGCCATCACAGTCCTACCAATATGTGATGACACCCCCAGAGGCCCAGCTGTAAAATTTCTCTCTTTGTATTCTTTCTCTTTATTTCTCAGATCAGCCAACACTTAGGAAAATAGAAAGAACCTACGTTGAAATATTGTGGGCTGGTCCCCCCGATAAAAGTTTGGCTCAATATCAGTAGATAATGCAGAAAGACTCTAATATTTTAAAATATGGTTGCAATGAAAATGTCAGAAAACACTGCCTAGATTTTCGTTTTTTTATTGCATCCATGTGTTAGCAAAGGCTTGGGATTCCTTAGGACCGAGAGCTTTAAGCAGAGTGACAGTTTCAATTCCAGAGGGATCATGACACAGCATAGCCCGTGCACTGCCATATGTGCAGCAGGAACAATGACTCATCAAACTTAGACTATTATGGTGGGGGGAGACCTGCCCCTTATTATACATAATTTCCTAATTGAAAGTGATAAGAGGCCTCTTCTCAAGTTTAGAAAATTATTTAGAGCCCTTCAGAGCCATCTGCATTGTTGAAACCTTTGGAAAGAAGGATGTTAAAAAAGGGAGTGTCAAGCTGTTTCTGATTCTGACAGGAGGCAAGCAGATGAACAGAACCATAACTCATTACAGGTTAGTTCTCTGCCTTTCAACATTATGCTGGCATCGGAAATTTCCTCAAATCCTATGTATCCTTCCAAAAAAAGTACTTGAAGCAGTGCTTCTCATCCTTTAATGTGTATGCTAACCACATGGAGATCTTCTTAGAATTCAGATTCTAATTACTGGGTATGGGTTGAGGCCTGAGATCCTGCATTTCTAACAAGCTTCCAAGCCATGTTGATGCTGCTGTTCTCAAAATCAGGTACTGAGGGGCGATAATGTAAAGGAATTTGGGTAATTCTGTTTTGAATGGAGTTTTATAACTCAGATCAATTCTCTGAACATATATTCAAGCTCCAGCCAAAGGAACAACAAAGAAACAGATCACTGAAATAAGTTAGATTAAATGCAAAACATAATCTAAATTTAACACACAGGGATGCAATACAAACTCAGAATGCTTCCACATTAATTAACCTAATAGGAAATTTTATTTAGCCATGGTTCACTGAAATAAACCATTATGCAATTAAAGCTAGAACTATTTGATGCACCAAGGTAGCCATTTATTTATCTTACTCTTCTCTGAAGGAATGTATATATATGTAAAATAGAACAAAGAGTTTTCTTCCCTAGGAGGTCAGCTTCAAAAAGATGAAAATTAAAAAGTGACCTTTTTCTGTATTCTAAAAGAAAATTTATTACATATAACAGACTTAATCTTTTCATTTTGGCATTTGCAGTATTTGAAAAGTGAAAGACTAAAAAATTACATTCTGCATGCCCTTGGTGACTACAGAAGGAACCAAATTGATTAAACTGCCACTCATCATTTACTGTGGTTAGTGCTTCATTAGGCACAGATAGGCACAATATATCTTAGTCAAGAACTTCTATGGAGTACTTTGCTCTTAAGGAATGAAAATATAACCCTGGATTGTGGGTAAAAGCCCATCTTAGAAAATATTTGATTCAAAACAATAAACTTTTAATATAATGGGAAACTATAATATTTATTTTTCAACTATGAAACAAAATTATATCTCTAAGAAGTTGTACTTACAAATTAAGCATATCAGAATAAAAACAAAAGTAAAAAATAAAGTACAGGAAGCTAAGCTAATGTAGTTCAGTAGACTCAAGGCCCAGGGTGGCCTGCTGCTGACTTGGAGGGAGGCACCAGGCAAGTGATTAGAATCCTCTTACTAGGATCTACATCAGCAATAAAACTAACACGGAAGACTGAGAAGCCCAACAATCTTAAAGTGCCAACCAGCATAAATGTTCCTTATGTTCCAATGATAATTTTTGTTCATACACTTTAATTACTATGTACATTTATTATTATTTTTTAATGAAATGGCAAAGCTGTATTTTTGCTGTCTGGTCCAGTTACCAGATCCAGAAACCCAGGAATCATCTGAAATCTTTTGCCTTTTTTTTTTTTTTTTTTACTATGTATATGCAGTCATCAAGTTGTCTACATCCTAAGTATTCCTAAATACTTCTACAATCTGATCTCCAAACACTTTCTCTCTTCCTCCTTACCATCCTTTTTGAATGCTTCTGAAATCCTATCCTCCATCTCTATCTACAAAACACCAGATATTTCAGCTGTTAGTCTTTGTCCATGGCATGATGTACACGTCCTTCAAACCTAGCTTTGTTAGCTTGGAAAGATGGCTTTGAGAAGTCAGGCAGAGTAATTACCACCGGGTGAAGCCTCCCCTGATCCCCTTAATCATTCACTGAGGATAAATTTATCACCTTCACCTCTGAGCTGCCACTGTACTAACCATATACCTGTGTTATGGCTCATCACACTGTCTTTCCCTGTGACCTTGAAGGCATGAATACATCTTTCTCATCTTTTCAGTTCCAAGATCTCACAAACTGCCTTGTACAAAATAGGTGTTCAATAACTATCTTTAAAACGAGACAAAAAAAAAAAAACCACATGTTCTCACTCATAGGTGGGAACTGAACAATGAGAACACATGGACACACACCGGGGACTGTTGTGGGGTGGGGGGAGCGGGGAGGGATGGCATTAGGAGATACACCTAATGCTAAATGACGAGTTGATGAGCGCAACATGGCACATGTATACATATGTAACAAACCTGCACGTTGTGCACATGTACCCTAAAACTTAAAGTATAATAATAATAAAAAATGAGGGAATAAATGAATGAATTGCATAAACTAGTCTGAGGAGTACACACAAGATACTGCAACAGAAAAAGGCATTTTATTTAGAGCTAATATTATCCTATGAAATTAAACACTAATAAAAAAATCAACTCAGTAATTTCACCAAAATACCTGAACTCTAACTTCATTTCTAAGAGACTCCAAAGGAACTCCAGCAGTCTCCATGGAAACCTTTCGCTCCACTGTACAATTTACTTGAATGCTAAAATTTAGAAATAAAGGTACCTTTGAGAAGGCCTCAGACAATGTTTTGATTTTTACATGTAAGGAAGCTGTATTATATGTTTAAATGTCTTAGTGTAGGTAGCAGAATCAGAAACTGCATCTCCTGAATCCAGGGTCAGCAATCTCTTTGTTATGCTATGCTGCCTCTGCAGTCAGAAAAACCTGTCTTTATTTGGTCAGCCTGGTCAGGTTAAAAAAGAGCAAATAGAGATGGCAACTTTGATTTCTTCCCAGGTGACACAAATGCCAGCAAAGATAAAGACAAAATCAAAATAAAATCTTCAAAATTAGAGGCTTTGGCAAAGAACACAGTAAAACTATCCTATAAAATTGAAGTCTACCATCATTGCTAATGCACTGAAAATATGATGTTGGCTGTGTTTAAAAAGTGCTTAAAAATTCAGCCAGGCACAGTGGCTCACACCTTTAATCCCGGCACTTTGGGAAGCAGAGGCGGGTGGATCACCTGAGGTCAGGAGTTCAACACCAGCCTGGCCAACATGGTGAAGCCCTGTCTCTACTAAAAATACAAAAATTAGCTGGGCATGGTGATACACATCTGTAATCCCAGCTACTCAGGAGGCTGAGGCAGAGGATCGCTTAAACCTGGGAGGCGGAGGTTGCAATGAGCCGAGATTGTGCCACTGCACTCCAGCCTGGGCGACAGAGTGAGACTCCATCTCAAAAAAAAAAAAAAAAGCTTAAAAATTCAACACAGACTCCTATGGATAATGAAGACTCTAGAGATGGAGTCTTAAAGTAATAACTCCAGGTTACATAGATAACAAGGAATATTTGGACTGGTAACATCCAGCAACCAGCCACAATTAGTATAAAAATATAAATAGGAAATGCCTTCACCGAGGACTACTGTAAGAAAAAAAAGAAAAATGAAAAATATGACAAGAAATAGCAGATAAATATTATTTCTTGTATTATGGAACAATGAAAGGAGAAGTTCCATTTGATAATTCATTTAAAACTCTACCAATAACGGCCCTTCTCTAAGGAATAAGCATAGTCCAGGCAGAATGAGAAAAAAGCAAATTAATAAGCCTTGCACATCTTTAATTTCTGTTTATATGACAGCTGATACAAAACAAGGAAGTCATATTTTAAGGCTTCTCTCTGCAAATGTATTAATCCTTATGCAATAATGTAGGAAATTAGGAAAAATTTATTCATGGGTAATTATCTTAAAAATCAAAGCAAAAGACACATCAAGCAATCTTTTTCAAGAAACTTCATGTGGCATATCGTGAAGAGAAATCACTGCTAAAACCTTCATGTAAATTATCCTACTATAAGGAGAATTCTGAACTTCAATTTACACTATGTTAAGTTGATATATTTAGTTCCAGTCATCAAATGGCATAGCTAGACTTTGATGGACTATGGGTAAGAATGCTGAAATGGGCACTACTAAGATATATGACTGGATGATTGATATTTTACAGTAAAATATTTGACAACAACCTAATATCTGAGATAATAGATGCAAGACCTAAAGGCAAAAACCTTTCCGGTACAGATTAACAGGGTCCATTTTTTTGGTGAAGTCTGTGGGCTTCTTGGAATATTCTCAAATATTTGCCCTGGAATGTAGCTTTGCAGTCTGGCCACTGCACATAGATTACAACTTGAATGATGCCTTTGGGGTTGTACAATGCAGTAGCGCTAGTGGGTGCTGCTCGAGGGCAGGAACCAGGTCCTTCTCACCTTGCACCTCTCGACATTCTGTAATGTTTTGCTGAATGAATAAATGAAGTGGCTCACAAGGTATAAGGGAGATTTCTGTGGGAAGAGAGCTACCCTGAGATTCTAGAGCTGTTTTTTTTTTGTTTTCTGTTACCATCAACCACACCCAGTGTGTGAGAAAAAACAAACAACAAAAACAAACACCTCTAATTTCAGAGGTTATAAAATGGTCACAAATAGATGGAAATTTATTTATTTCTATAATAAAGTTTTTAATCTGTTGGGGTTTCCATTAGGCTATGAATATATTAAGTATTCAAAAACAAACATGGTAAAAGCTAACAATAAAGGAAGAACCATTTAAATTATCAATCAGAAAAAATGAGAAAAGCTTTGCCAAGCTCAACTGAAAATTCAATTATATAAACATCCCACTCTTGGAATCTATTGTCTCACACAGAAATACAGAGAAATAGAAAACGCCACAGTAAAAGATGAGCAACCCACATGGGTGTAGGAAAATAGGAAGCTACTCGGATTCTGTCATTAGTAATTACTAAGCGACTGTCACATACTATGAATACGTTTTGTTTTATTTTTAATGAAATTTAGCAGGATGTTTCTTGGACACTGATAGGTCGTTTTAGTTGAGTTCAAGTTTAGTTCTTTTTCAACTATTGTTTTATTTCTTTTCTTTTTTTCTAATGACATCTACCAACAGGAATCTAAGGATACAACATTTGAAGAATAAATTTTTTTTAAAAACCCACAAACATCTAAGTTTACCAATTACATAATATAGCATCTAAAATTAAGAAAGCCACCAAAATATTTAACTTATAGTAATTCATACAGCAAAATACCAGCAAATGAAACTGTGATTGTTAATTAAAATAACCTCCAGGTAATGCAGTACTGAAGAATTAATTCACAATTGTCATAACAAGCACAGAATTCTCCACGTCCATCCTTCAGTAAGCAATATGAAGTAGATATCCTTGTAATATTCTGGTAGGCATCTTTAGTAACTATTGTCACACAATGACATTTATAGAGGCTCCTAGTTTCTCTCCAATCCCATTTCCATTCAATCATGTCTTTCCTGTGCATATAAGTTAATGATCCACTTTTTCACCTTCACTGGATTAGAAATTTTCTATTGCCTAAACACTTGTTGAAAATGCTTCACTAACTACTTTTGCTGGTTTTAACAGCAAGCTTTTTTTTGGATTCATACAGCCCACAGATCCAAAGAACTACTTTCTATAATCCACTCATGTAAAATTATTATCTTTTTAAAGAATTATGACCTCACATTTTATTAACTTGCATCACTATCTCATCAACCAGTGTATGGCTTTCTTTTCAGGTTGGTTTTCATAAATTTGTTATTTCACTGAGAGTTAAATGGTAGGGATTATAAACCACCACCACACTAAGATGGCAGCAGTCACGAGTTTCCTGCCTGCATTACTACGCTATTTAATCAGCTCCCACTCATCAGCATATGCAAGTTAAATTTGTGCCCCAGGAAAATCACAAATGTCTACATGACAAAGACCCTTAGTAGTCAATGTTCATAGTTAAAGTCACAAATATTAAATAATCAACAAAAGCAGGGCATGTGGTAAAACGTGCATAGATCTCCCTTTCTAGACACCTCTAGAATTAGGGCAGCTCCCTTCCTATAAAGATCCTTATACAATACGAACCTAATTCCCTCCTTATACAATATGAGCCAGCCTGCTTGCTTTCCTTCCTTCCTTTCTTCCTTCCTTCCTTCCTTCCTTCCCTCCTTCCTTCCCTCCCTCCCTCCCTCTCCCCCTACCTCCCTACCTCCCCTCCCACCTTCCTCCCTCCCTCCTTTCCTTCCTTCTGGACAACCTTACATAATATCAAGACGTTCAAGGTGAGAAAGACCTGGTTCTTGCCCTCAAGCAGCACTCACTAACATTGCTGCATTTGTCTTCTCCCAAGTGACCAAAGTGTCAGTTAGGAAATAAAATTTTAAACAAGGATAAAAGAACTCTACGAGAAGGCACAAGTACTTGAGAGGTAACCTGTTTTGAGAAGATGTAGATGAAGACATGACAATCTAGGCAGACCACAGGCAGTGAGTTACAGCTTCAAGTTATAGTCAGATTATTTACCTACAGCAACTTGGAAAAAGTTCAGGATGTAAAAAGTGTGAAGCTGAGTCTGACAGCTGGAGATAGAGGGGAGAAATGAAAATGTGTATGAAGAGCAAACTTTAGCCTCATAGGTCTTCTCTGACTATCCCTCATCTCATCCTAAACACACACCAGCAGGGTAGATGACATTAAACCCAGGAGGCCTCAAATTGAAGATAAAAGTTGCAGAAGAGAGCAGGGTGAGGCACTGAGCTGAAAAAAAGGGAAATCAAGTGTGAAAAACATGTTTACTGATCTATGTGACCATCAGCTCCCCTTTCCACTCTGCTTTGAGGATGTCAGCTGCCTGTAATCAGCATATGAGGAGGAACAAAGAAAAAGCCTTCAGATACTGACATCTGAGGATCTCCCAACCAGAAGTTTAGCTCTATGCATGAACAATATACAATGAACTGACCGGTTAATTGGGCCCTTCTAAGTGTATAGATTTATAGTGCTTAATGTATAAAAGTAAATGAAAAGCCAAAAAATGTCCCCATCCCCGTGTTTGAAGAAATACAGATCAGAAGGAAAGGAAGCAAGAACAATTTTATATATGGAAGCTGATTTTTTTTTAAATAGAAGGTTTGTAAGATACAAAGTTATATAAAAGACTTTAAAAAATAGAGGATTAAGAAAGGAGTTCCAATATCAAAGTAATACAAATTTTCTAGAAAGTGACGACAGAGAGGATGGAAGAAATCATTTTTTTAAAAAAGAAATTCAAGAAGTTTTCTAAGAGCTAAAACACGTTATTCTTTATCTTGAAGGAAACTTACCCAGCACCAATAGAAAAAGATACTACCAAGGCAATATCATCATGAAATTCTGGAATACCAGGGATAGAGGGAAGAACCCAATTCCCTCCAGGGAGGAAGTATGAGAGGGCACACAAATGATCGAGAAGTGGAGAATGGAATCACACTTCTCAGCAGCAATACCAGAAGCTCTAGGGAAATAAAACAATGTATTGAAAATTCTGAGGAAAAAAATTAACATTCAAGTTATACATTATCATTAATGATATACAGTTAGCCAAACATCAATCATTTGTGAGAGTAGAATAAAGGCGTTTTCAAAATACTAAGAATTTGAAAACTGTATCTCTAATGTATGCATTCTTCTAATGCACCTAAAGGAGGAAGACATGGAATCCAGATAAAGGGAATCTGCAGTCAGTGACACTCCAGAAGGAAAATGGATCCAACCCAGAAGTGACTACGAATAGAGCTATAAGGGAACCAATAAGACATACAGAAATACTCAGATTCTAGCAACAGCAGGAAGCCATGACTCCCTCTCCAACTAAGACCTAAGTGTTATTAGTGTCTACTGACAACTAGTGCTATGGGAGAGAAGCTTCCCCAAAGAAGTTGTAGTTAGTCATTTCCAGAAACATGGTCTAACATGCAGAAGAATTAGGGAAAAGTATACAGTCACTCTCTCCTCTCACTTGTTTTTGCCTGAACCCAGCTGGAAACCAGTGAGTGATGGCAGCTGAGAGGATGCAATTCCCTAGGGGTCAGCGAAGTAAGACACAGGGCAGGACAGAAGAGGGTGGGGAAGAGATTAGGAAGAGAACAGAGAATAACCATCTTAGGACCTACAACACCATGCAGAGACAAAGTGGGGATGGGGATGAGTGGGGAGCAAATGAAGTCTGAGATAAGAAATGCTACATTGTGCCAAGCCAAGAAATCAGAAAGCCGAGAGAGGAAAGTTTCAAGAACATGGCTGAGGAAAGGAGACGTAAAAAAAGTAAATGGAACTGATAGATTTGCTGTTGTGTTTGAGAATTTGAAAAATATGTTTTCATAGGTAATTGATAAATTCTTCACAATTATAATTAGTCATAAGAGCAAAGACAACTAATAAGAATCACAGACAGTTATTAAGTCCAGGAAAAGCAAAAGGTTATACAAGAAAATATATCATCATAAATACTACCTGACTTTAAGCATGAATAATATTTATATATTAATGTTCTAAGACGTGATATAGATTCTAAATTAGGATAATGAAGTAAGGTTGACAGAAGCAAGTTAAATCCTCATCTACCATAATACCTACTTAGTAGATAGTGTCGAAAATAGTAAATCAATGAATAGCAATATAAGCAATTTAAGACAGAAGTAAAATACCATGTCTAAAAGAGTTAAAAGTAAAAATAAATAAAAAATAATTAAAAACAAACAGTTAAAAGTAGTTGCTTCTGGTAAATAGGATTAAAGGGTGGGTATGGATGAGGCAGAAGATCACTGTTTTTCTATTGTTATTGCTGTGGTATGTTAGTTATAGGTTATACTTAAAATAGGTTTTATTGTTACAGTTTTCTGGTTCGGAAACTGAAGCTAGGAGTAGCTAAGGAACTTGTTCAACTAAAGTCACCCAGCTAAGAAGTGGCAGAGGGAAGCTGACCTAGGTTTTCCATATGTTTTCTACTATAACAATGACTCTCCTTTATAAAGCAAAACACTGCTAGTTACATTTTGTCAAAGTTATCACAATCAAAATGGAGTCACTTGTGTTAAAACCCCTGACAAACAGAGCTGGGGAAGGCCACGAAGGAAGGGTTCTCATATATGAAAACTATCACAAAAGGCTGCAAAAAACACAGCCTTGCACAAAGGCCACTGCAACCTTATACACAAAACATACTTCTATGAAGACATCTGCCTGCCCAATGTCAGACTGCCATGACGCTTGTTACTGATCTTTGTAGTCAAGGATAATTATCATAAAACAATTATGTAATTCTTCTAATTTTCCTTTAAAAACCTTTGTCGGCCAGGCACAGTGGCTCACGCCTGTAATCCCAGCACTTTGGGAGACCGAGGCAGGTGGATCTCGAGGTCAGGAGTTCGAGACCAGCCTGACCAACATGGTGAAACCCCATCTCTACTAAAAATACAAAAATTAGCCAGGCGTGGTAGTGGGCGCCTGTAATCCCGGCTAGTCAGGAGGCTGAGGCAGGAGAATCTCTTGAACCCGGGAGACGAAGGTTGCAGTGAGCTGAGATCGCGCCATTGCACTACAGTCTGGGTGACCGAGTAAGACTCCGTCTCAAAAAAAAAAAAAAAAAAAAAAGAAAAGAAAAAGAAAAAAGAAAAAAAAAAAACCTTTGTCTTCCTTCACCTCCCTCAATACGCACATAATTTATTACGGCACATATATTCCCACTGCAATGCCTGTTTCTGAATAAACATCATTTTCTTTTAGAGAGTCTCCCTTTCCGTTTTTGTTATTTAGGTTGATAATGTTCAGAGAAATGATTTCTACATGAATAAATACACAACTTACAACACGAAAGCACCAGTGCACATCCAATGTTCTCTAAAATTTGAATACTAGTTTATGTACTTCTATTTTTTTTTAATTTTTTATTTTTGTAGGTCTCACTCTTGGGGCCAGGCTGGAGTGCAATGGTGTGATCATAGCTCACTGCAGCCTTGAATCTGGGGCTCAAGCTGTCTTCCCACATCAGCCTCCTGTGGGACTATAGGCACACTCTACCATGGTAACTGAACTTTTATACTTTGCTGAGATGGGATCTCAGCATGTTGCCCAGGCTGGTCTCAAACGCCTAGCCTCATGCCATCCTCCCACCTTGGCCCCCAAAGTGCTGGGATTACAGGTGTAAGCCAACACTCCTGCCTATATATTTCTAAATTAAAACACACACACACACACACACACACACACACACACACACTCTTAAGATGAGAATATCCTGGGCCAAAAATTATTTTTGATTCTCAAGACACAGGCAGTATGTTAATTTCCCTAAAACCAAATAGAGCAGCTTTTATATATCCCATAGCACCCTTGGATGCTGTACCCCAATAGAAATGCAGTATATTTAGCTTGGCTGATTGACGTTCTAAGAGTTGATAAGAACACTGTTCTCAACATTTGGGGAGTTTTATATTTCTTAAAAAATTTTACATGTAACCATCTCTTGTTATTCTCACAAACCAGTGAGGCAGCTGAATGCACCAAGGGTTATAATAATGTCATGAAACTGAGTCTCTGTGATTGGCTGTTTAAAAAATCACCCCAAAACCAGTTTGTGGATAGCCAATTATTTTGCAAACATTGATTTAAAATGGGGAAATTTTTATTTGTTCTTAAAAATATTTGGTAGTGAACAATGCCTCATTTTACATATTATCATTCAGCTAATTTATTGCCAATAAATGACCAAGCATATGCACTGAAAACACACATATACTCTCTCTCACAAACATACACACCGATAAACAACAATGGAATATAAAAACTATAACCACACTAGACTTTTTTTTTTTCTTTTTGAGACGGAGTCTCACTCTGTCACCCAGGCTGGAGTGCGATGGTGCGATCTCAACTCACTGTAACCTCTGCCTCCCGGGTTCAAGAGATTCTCCTGTCTCAGTCTCCCAAGTAGCTGGGGTTACATGCATGTGCCACCATGCCCAGCTAATTTTGTATTTTTAGTAGAGATGCAGTTTCACCATGTTGATGGGACTGGTCTTGAACTCCTGCCCTCAGGTGATCCACCCGCCTTGGCCTCCCAAAGTGCTGGTATTACAGTTGTGAGCCACCATGCCCAGCCCCACACTAGATTTTTGACATAAAAATAGAGGTGCTTCCTTTCAGCATGCCAAAGCTATCACTAAATTCGGCACTTTAGTAGCCACTCTAAAATGCCACAATAACCTAATATGAGAGAACTGTACTTACAGAGATAATTTGTATTAGGCAATGTAACATTAAGTTTGTAACAAGGAATTTGAGTTTGTAATCAGTAGTCCTTAGTGTGAATTAAACACTCAAATGTGTTAAGTCTATTCTGATTAGTAGTATTTAGTAAATTATTGCTCTAGTGCGTTATGAGAAAGGTGACCACATGTCACAATTATCTCTGTTTTACACCTATTATCCTGGCAGAATTATTAACTCTCAATGGTGTCCTGGTATAATAATAAAATACAGGGTCATCCTAATTTTAAGGGACTTCCGTAGTGAGAGTGGGCTTAGAAACCATCAGCTTCAATCTCCTGGATGCCCTTCTGACTGTCCCCAGTTCTTTTGTTATGTTGCATTGCATTTCGTTGGCTACACCAACAAGTCACTTGGATCATGCATTATTTGAGCAGTTCTCAAGAACTCTTAAAGAGGTGTTACATTTGACAGTAACTAATTCATATGTTCCTTGGTCTTATGACCTGATTAATTAGAAATAGTACAAACAGTGCTGACAGATAGATGATTCAACATAACTCATCAACTCAAATTCTCATTCTTACTATCCTTTGGTTTAAAATGAACTCATTCATTTTAGCAAAAGTAATAAATGAGTAATGGCTAGGAATTGGGAAAATATTAATACATGCCAGCATAAGTACTAGTCCTGTGAAAATGTATTCAATCCAGGGATTCCTTGGTTTATTTTTTTTAAAAAACTCTTCCTTGCATAAAACTGTATAGTAAAATGTCTTAAAACAATGTCAGGAGAGAAAAACAGTCCAAAGACTGTTGAGTGAGAGTGAAAGACACCCACTATATTTTAGTTATGCAAAGGACATGACTCAGAGTATAACCTAAATTATAAAATATATGTTTTGCTGTATTTGTGTTTTGGAGTTGCTCTAGTGGTAAAATAAAGACCAAATTTTAAATAAATCATCTTAAGAGATTATGTAGTGTCTTGTAAAAAGAAAGGGCTTGGAGTAGGTTATCTCTGAGTTTGAATGAGTGCTCTATTTACTAACTGCAAGACCTTACCCATATTATTTAGTATCTCTGGGTTTGGTTTTCTTTCACTGTATCATGGTAAAATAGGTAAGTAATTAAAATGCATAACAGGGCTCAGAATACAGTTTGTGTTCAATAGAAGTACCTATTGCTGTTACTATTATTATTACTCAAGTCTCAAATCAAACCACAGGACCTCATATAGAACAAATTTATTTTCAAAGTAGGGGCTATGGTAGGGCTAATTTGTGATTCTCTACCTTAAAACATTAGCAAATAAACCTAAATCCTAAGAAACATTATTTTATTATATACATTTCCTTGGCTCAAGAAAGATCATTAAAGATAATGGCAGAACTTTGTACACTGCCAATATGTATGGTGATTAGGCTTATTTAATAAAAAAGCAATGCTAAATGGCCTTTCAATACTTAATAAACAGGCAATTTCTTTTCTAACATATGCGAAATCAATTTTGATGTGGACATTTTTCTATATATCAAGAGTGGTATGGAAATTTTTTCTAACCACCCAGCTGCTACAATGTTAAATAAATTAATTTTAATCTTAAATCAGAGATGTAATAGAGAAACGGATGATTTAATATGCAATCTCATTACATTTGACAGGCTTATTTATAAATGATTTGCCCCACATTTTGACAAGCATAGTTAATATGTTAATTAGCTTTTTAAAAGATGATGAAAGGAAGAGACTGGCATGCTATCATTCTTCATACACTGTTGGGGTGTTGGGGAGTACTGTAGTTGATACCTCAGGGTAGTGCTACTATATATTTTACCCACCCCCAAAGCACTGTGGTCTTGATGAGATAATCATTTATTTGCTGCAGGTGACTTAGTCACCCTATTTTAAAAATTAACCCTATTTTAAAAATTTATATTCCTCTATAGAGGAATATAAAGCTTATTTGGAACAATGACCTCAACAGCTTGAGCAGAGCTTCCTAGCAAGGGAAGAACTACATAGATAAGCTGCTTGCTACATCTGCACTTCTCTTAATGTGGCTTTCAAAACTTAGTAAGCCTTTTTGGTTTAGAAGCTTAGCAATGATTTCCTATGCCTTGACTTTCACAGAGTTATAAATCCAAAAATTAAGAGAAGTTATACAAAGGAAATGTTCAATTTGATTCCTCTGCTTAAAATTTCCTTTACAGAGGGAGATAAAACAATCAAAAACTATCTATTTTCATAAAAGTATCAAAAACTATCTATCTTGATGAGTTCCCAAATCACACAGGGTTGTTTGTTCATTGCAAGTGTTGGAGACCTGGAGGAGGAAATCGTAACACGGCCAGCTCTGATTTCCATCACTTGCTGACAAATGATAATGCATATGTGTCTTCATTCATTTTTTTATTTCCTGTGGCTATTTAAACAGAAAACTGGAAAATGTAACACTGTATAGGGATCATTAGTTTTTAGTTACTACCTTACTGCCCCATGCTGATAAATGAACTGTAAGAAAGCCTGAAACTACTGCCACCTGCCTCCCTGCTATTCTCCATGGGTTAATATTTGCACTTCTCTTTGCTGCAGCTGAGCCATGACTCAATTATAGTCCCATTTCTAGTTCTCTCAATACCCAGCATCAATGTCATTGATTATGCAAAAATCAGTGCCTGTGAACTTCTAACTGGAAAAACACATTTTATTTGACTTATAGGATAATAACAAGATAGCTTTTAGAAAATGGCTTGAAATCAGATTCAGACAGGCAGGTGTACCATAGATATAACATAGATTTTAAGGCTTGGAAGTGAAGAGCCAGTAAGCATGGGAAGCTGTTCAGACATAACACATTTGCTATTTGGTTCTGGCAATGAATAATCTTGGCACGTAGACAAAAGGGCATTTGGGGTCTACTATTTTCTATCAGTTTTCCTCCTTTCCACTTACTCTTCTTGTGCTTCCATTATGTCTCTGTTCAAAGCAAATTGGCAGAAAGTGTCCAAGCTATCTTCCTTGAGAGAATGAACACACACACACGAGGAAGAAAAAGTGACACACGGGCAAGAAAAAGTAGCACACGCTGGAAATCAAATACTGAGCTACACCTCAGAAACACACATATTATGTCACAGTCCATTTGGTTCTTGGTGCTTTTAAAGGTTTGGGAAAAATTAGCCACTAGTATGTAAAAAATGTTCTGAGGGTAGAATCTTAACTGAACTACCAAGCAACTAAGACAAAAACTGGCTCCAAGCCACAGATGTTTCCAACCAATGTTTTATTAGCAGAGTCCCTAACTGACCTCATTGAAAGACAACCTAGAATTTCCATACTCAAAAAATAGAGAAAAAGCCCCATAACACAAGAATCTTAAGTAATGAATATCTGCAGAGCCAACTATAAGTCAGGAAGTAGGAAAGGGATGAGAAAGTAACTAATATCCTGATGCATTCATTGGCCTTTATTTTCAACTTTTTCTGCCATTACACTAATTATGTAAATATCTATTTTACCCAAATCCCTGTGTTGGGAAAAAAAGATCTAACTGTGTAAACAACCATCCCCCCAAAAAAGCCAGGAAGTGTGACAAAATAGATTAGCTCAGCCCCTTAATGACAGATGATCATCTTTAGTCTCAGTGTTTTAGAATATCATTAAAATGGTATTAGATTTATTACAAGATGTTACAAAATTTATGACAACAGATCTGTATGATTATCTGATTTTCTTGTAGCTCTACTAGAAAGCTTTAGAGCTACACTTCAATAAAAATAAATACGTTCTCATGTACACAAAATGTTGCAGGTATCCTCAGTGGCTTTACAAATCCCTAAATCTCATTCTTAGGGAGGGCTGCTAGAACATAAAAAAATCTGCACTGTGCCCTAGATCATGAGAAACTTGATTGTTTTCTCACCATAACGTTTTTGGATCAAAAACATCAGGAAAGAAGCCAGGCCTCATCACAGGCCAATTTATGAAAAGCCAAGATTACGGGGGGTAGAGCACTGAAGTAAGTAAGTATACAACAGTAAGATAAACAACACATACTGCAGTTTTACTGAGGTCATAAAATTATATGAATACACAGTGGAATTCTACATATGGGGGCATAATCATTCAGGGAAAATGACTCCTATTATAAAACAGCCATGTGCGATGCCTCCAGCTTTGTTCTTTTGGCTTAGGATTGATTTGGCGATGCGGGCTCTTTTATGGTTCCATATGAACTTTAAAGTAGTTTTTTCCAATTCTGTGAAGAAAGTCATTGGTAGCTTGATGGGGATGGCATTGAATCTGTAAATTACCTTGGGCAGTATGGCCATTTTCACGATATTGATTCTTCCTACCCATGAGCATGGAATGTTCTTCCGTTTGTTTGTATCCTCTTTTATTTCCTCAAGCAGTGGTTTGTAGTTCTCCTTGAAGAGGTCCTTCACATCCCTTGTAAGTTGGATTCCTAGGTATTTTATTCTCTTTGAAGCAATTGTGAACGGGAGTTCACTCATGATTTGGCTCTCTGTTTGTCTGTTGTTGGTGTATAAGAATGCTTGTGATTTTTGTACATTGATTTTGTATCCTGAGACTTTGCTGAAGTTGCTTATCAGCTTAAGGAGATTTTGGGCTGAGACAATGGGGTTTTCTAGATATATAATCATGTCGTCTGCAAACAGGGACAATTTGACTTCCTCTTTTCTTAATTGAATACCCTTTATTTCCTTCTCCTGCCTAATTGCCCTGGCCAGAACTTCCAACAATGAGATACCATCTCACACCAGTTAGAATCGCAATCATTAAAAAGTCAGGAAACAACAGGTGCTGGAGAGGATGTGGAGAAATAGGAACACTTTTACACTGTTGGTGGGACTGTAAACTTGTTCAACCATTGTGGAAGTCAGTGTGGCGATTCCTCAGGGATCTAGAACTAGAAATACCATTTGACCCAGCCATCCCATTACTGGGTATATACCCAAAGGACTATAAATCATGCTGCTATAAAGACACATGCACACGTATGTTTATTGCGGCATTATTCACAATAGCAAAGACTTGGAACCAACCCAAATGTCCAACAATGATAGACTGGATTAAGAAAATGTGGCACATATACACCATGGAATACTATGCAGCCATAAGAAATGATGAGTTCATGTCCTTTGTAGGGACATGGATGAAACTGGAAATCATCATTCTCAATAAACTATCACAAGAACAAAAAACCAAATACCACATATTCTCACTCATAGGTGGGAATTGAACAATGAGAACACATGGATGCAGGAAGGGGAACATCACACTCTGGGGACTGTTGTGGGTTGGGGGGAGGGGGGAGGGACAGCATTGGGAGATATACCTAACGCTAGATGAAGAGTTAGTGGGTGCAGCGCACCAGCATGGCACACGTATACATATGTAACTAACCTTCACATTGTGCACATGTACCCTAAAACTTAAAGTATAATAATAATAAATAAATACATAAAAATAAAAAAATAGCCATGTGCTATGTAAATTGTTTTACTTTGGACACAACTGTGAGTCTGAAAAGAAATTATTTTATTAATAAAAGATATGTTCAACAGTCCGTCCTTCATGCCAAAAATTAGATTATTCCCTTATTTGATTGTTTGATTTGGATCACACTTAGTTGGGAACTCAGCATAGTTTATCATTAATGCTAATTATGAATTAAATCTTGACAGTCATTGGACCTCATAAAATAGATTTTTAAGCTTTGCTAAAGCATTTGTGAAAGTGAGACCTAAAATTAAACATATAATATTTTTTAAAAGTAGTCATTTTATTTCATTTTGGATAACTAGTGTCAGAAGTTTTCAAGTACATACTGTGAGTCAAACTGGTGCCTAACAGTTACACCAAAATTTTCAGACCACTCATCAGAGCTTTGTTGCAAATTTAAACATACTCCCTGCTACTCCAATCCTGTTGCCGTCTGGAGATACATACTTCCCTTGTTATAAGATACAGCCACAAATTAAGACTCTTAGGGAGAGAAAAATCATGATACTGACAGTTAGAAAAATGTCTCTGCCCCTGTCCATCAAGAACCATTACCACACAGCATCTGCAAAGGAGACTCTAATTAGAGAACATTCCCAATCATGTTTTAAAACATCCAGCAGCATGGCCACATGCAGGCAAACACTCCTGCACCATTAATCTTCATTCAAACTGTTAGGATGTTTGTCTAGGCTTGACCCAGACCAAGCACTACAGATAGATTAGCTAGAGTAAAGCTTCCATTTCTCACCACATGTCAAGGCAGGTGGAATATTCTGTTGAGCCTAGAAGGACATCTGGAGGTCTGTACCACAAGGTAACCACTTCGTTGGAGTATGTGTGGCTAGGGACGGATTTTGCTCTTGCAAGACCTGTGGGTTATATGAAACATAAAGAAGTTTAACAGGCATTAGCAAAACAAGGGAATTTAAATTTGAACGTTCACATTCTTAAAGGTCAAACCCGACCTTTTAATACAGAATCAGGAGTGCAGTATCAAGGTTAATAGAAAACTGGGGAAAGCATATTGTGGTTTCTGTTTTTAACACATGCTAATAACCATTAAAACATTTCTATTTCCTAATAAAGCACTGATGTCATGAATCTAATAAAATATCAGCAGAGTAAACAAATAATTCACAAACTATCATAACACAGGAGCTTAGAAGTCTCTTGAATTTTTCAGATTTATAAGTATTGTGAGAAAGGGTTCCTTGGTCAAATAACTGAGAAAAAACAGATTTAGAAACTTAAAGAATCCTTAAATTGTGAAACTTCTCAGTTTTCTTAATTGTTCTAATGCGTATTGTGAATCTGCAAGAGGAGAGTATAATACTTTCCCCAAAGAATTGTCCTAAAATTTCTTGTGGTTTCAGTGTTCTGTCAAATACTCACTAGGAAATGCTTATTGCAGAAGCTCTTTTGAAAAAACATCTAAATAAATAACTATAAAGGAATAGTCAAATCTGGTACATACATTGATGAGATTATATATGATAAATTAAAATGTCCTCTAAGAATTTTTTTAAACTGGGAAGATGTTAAGTGAAAAGGTATACGCAATTTGACCTCATAACCATAAATACTCATGCACAGAAAAAATATTTGTAGGTCTGTTTTTTTTTCCCTCTAAAAAAAAAAAAGGGCCGGGCGCGGTGGCTCACGCCTGTAATCCCAGCACTTTGGGAGGCCGAGGCGGGCGGATCACGAGGTCAGGAGATCGAGACCATCCCGGCTAAACCGGTGAAACCCCGTCTCTACTAAAAATACAAAAAAATTAGCCGGGCGTAGTGGCGGGCGCCTGTAGTCCCAGCTACTTGGGAGGCTGAGGCAGGAGAATGGCGTGAACCCGGGAGGCGGAGCTTGCAGTGAGCCGAGATCCCGCCACTGCACTCCAGCCTGGGTGATAGAGCGAGACTCCGTCTCAAAAAAAAAAAAAAAAAAAAAAAAGAAAAAAGTTTGGCAGAAAATACATTTAAATGTCTTCAGTGGTTACCTCTGGAATATGGGATTATCTTTATTTTTTAGTAAGTTTTTCTGAGTGTTTTCCCAAGATTTGTGGAATGAATGTGCAATTATTTTAAAAATCACAAAATCTATAGATGTCATTTTTTAAAAGAAAAAAACCTGTGTGACAGCTTTCTATCTAGCTGTATTCATTAGTGACAAGTATAAAGTATTATTTACTGTTATGTTTATAGCACTTAAAACATTTTTACAGTGAACCTACCATAACATATTCATTTTAATGTTCTATTTAAAAATTTTTATGTAGTAAGGAAATGGCTTTTTCTTATTTATTAAATGTAGCATTCCATTTTCAGTATTATATGTAAATTTTAAAGTTAATAAGACAGCTGGTAAGACAAAGAATTTCTAATTAATTCAGCCATGGTTACAGTGCCCTAATTTTTTTCTACCAGTCAGTTTTAATAATAATGCAATGGTATACTATAAATTGGTTGATATTTACAAGTATTCCATATTAAAATGTACAGATTATACCACACAGACATACTTACACATTCCTGGTCCCCAATTTTTCTCCACATGAATGGAGTAATTATTTTTGATAATAGATTTCTATAACAACCTCTTCCTTCTTTCCTCTGCAAGGTTTTATCCTACATTAATTCAGGCAAAATTGAACAATAGATAGGACAATCAAGATGATAAAGTGTCTCCAGAACTTGGTAACCCCATCAAAAGGGTTGGTTCCTCAAATGCCTATGGTTCCATATGGAGACTAAAGAGCCAGGCACAAGTCCTGAAATAGGTTCTGACTTGTTCCATATGCTGTTGTCAAGTCAAATGGGATGCTACAAACATTCCAGCTTGATTCTCTTGGTTTTCCTGAGGCCCTGTTGTCAGAAAGCTAAGCCAGAAGGATGAGAGAATGAAAAAAAATTGAAGATTTTCATTGACAGCTCAGACCAGGCTAGTTATAAAAAAACTGTGATGTTCCCAGTTGTAAAGGGGAAAATAAGACCTCAAAATAATCTAGAAGTAGTATAAATCAAAATAACCACATGTAATTTCAGATCAACTATGCTCACTCTGAATATGAGTTTGCTAGACTGGTTAAATATTTTTGGAAACTACAAATAGAAAAAAGTGCTTTATCTACATTACTGTCTTTTTTCCCACATGTTTAGGCCAAAGACTACTCCAATTTTATTCAGATGAGCCACATAACTTCCCAAAATAACAGTAAAAATAACTTTCAATATCTAACTTTTCAAAGCTTAAGACTGAGTCTCTTAAAATGGTTTGCATGTAAATGTGTCAGAGTGAAGAATGTTATTATATTTTTAAGATACATTATTCTACATTGCTTGAGAAAAATTCTCTCATCTCATTTGAACACAGTCAATTAAAACAATTTATTGTAGAAAGTGTCCTCTATATTGATGAACAAAAAATTTTTACCCTAAAAATGTCTGTTTGGTTAATAGGATAAGAAAATCCCAAAACTTTTCAGGAAGGGAGAAAATCATTAAAACAATGACTCAAAAAATAAAAATAAAAGAAAGACAAAAAGAAGCAAAGAAAGAGAAAGAAAAGAATGAACAAAAGAGGAGAGAAAGAGACTTTGAAGTATAAATATATATAACTACATTTTTAACAAATATTTTTGGTAAAGATATTGCTATATGTTTATACAGTTCATGCATCAAAACATGCTTACTCATGCAAAATTTATTAAACTGCATTCTTCAGTTGAAAGAAAACTGTAGGACAGGATTAATTAGCACAGCATGTGTGAAAGCTTTCTTTCTCTGTTCTTTGTCAGTTGCTATGGTTACACTACAGGAACAGAGCTACACTACCTTTTAAAAAAGACGCAGTTCATGGATTATTATCAAAACTTCTTATATTAATGTTTAGTTTGATTTAAAAGACAAAAAGCAAAGTGCTAACCAGACAAGTGCAGGTTATATGCACGTTGCTGCTTTGGCTGAGTGTGTGCTCATGAAGGGGTACAATTCCGATGGGCACCTAAAATGGCTTGCATAAAATTCAGTGTATCCAACTTTACAGTGTTGACATTTCTAACTAATGAAAGACCCCAGAGTAAAAGGGATAATCCTGCTATTCAAGCCCTACTGCCAATGATTCAAAGTTGAGCTACCCTGATACTAGCATAGCAGAATCTTGGATTTCTGGAGGAGTTAAGAAGCTTTATAGCTAACCTCTTATCCAATAAAAAAATTCCTCCTCACATCTCTATAAGATGGTTATCTTATAGATAATATCTGCTGCTACCCTGAGCCTGGTTCTACCCTCTGGCATGGACACAGAATAAACCACGGGACAGTGCTCCCGACATTTTCCCTACGCAGACCAGCCATTCAGCACCAAACAATGGAGACTCTTCAGGCCTCATCATAACAGCCTCTGCTGCATTAGACTCTGCTGACCACTCCCTTTCTTCTACATTTTCTCCCTTTATTTCTCAGATATAGGATAGTTAACCAGGAATGACTTGGTCTCCTTCTGGGACCTACCCCTTTTTGCCCCTTAAATGCTGGTTTTGCCTATGGTTATATACACATACGCTCAAACCAGTGCTTTCTCAAATATATACACTTTATAGGTCACTGGGCCTTATTTTGAGTTTTTTAACTGCCATCCATAGATGATTTCTCCCAAGATTTTACCTCCAGCTTATACTTGTCTTTGGGCTTCAGACCTGGTTCTATGTAATTCCTTACTAGGCATAGGTGCTAGATGTCCTACAGGCACTCAATATAACTCCAGCCAGAATTAATACAGAGAATACACCAAAAGAGTCCAGGAGCAAATGCACTTTACTAGTAACTGTTTCAAGTTCCAAAAACAGCCAAGGTTCTTTTCTTTTAGCTGTACACAGATGTAAACTAGAACTTATATTCCATGTACATTTAATTATTCCTTCAAATTCCAGTGCATCCTTTTTTTTGTAGGTGGTAAAATTGGCTAGGGATTTAAGCAATCTCTTTAACTCTATGGAGAAAATTGCTGAACCTAGGATAAGGTTCAGAAATGATCATTCCCATTCCTTTGCTTTGACTAAAGAATTGAGAAGGAAGTGGCAACACTGACTTACTCCTTTCTAACTAAGTGAAATTAATAACAGCAAATCTAGCTGAATTTGCAGAGTCAACAAAAATACGGTATAGAAATAGTATCTTTCATTACTTCAGAGTCATTCCAGAAAATGGGCCAAAGCTTTGTGTTGGTCAGTGGTTTCATATTATATTATAGAGCAACTCCCACAACTCTCTCTCAACACACCTTACTCCCCAAATTAATCAGAAAAAAAAAAGTCTTGCTCTTAGTTAATCACAAAATCAATATTTCTAGGAGAAAGGTTCCTTTATCACTTGACTCCAAACAGACATAAAATGCTTGGATAATATTTTACCATAAGACAGTTACACTGGGAAGGGAAAGACTTGAGGCCTTCTCTATTCCATGAATCAGTCCACGGGGTGAAGGCTTTTGGATTTCATTCCCATTCCACAGCCAAAGACTGGCCAAGAATCTCATTTTTGATATAATTTTTTAATGGAATATTCTCCCTCCTACAGGATTTATACTATATTAAATATCTTATGATGTGGTAACACTGTTTGAAGATACTCTATTGCTGCTTTTATAATGTATCAATAAACAACCAACAAACAAATATTTTCTTATGGTGTTCTAGCCTTTAATCTTTTCTCTCTACTTGACAAGGTTTCCCTGAATGACTCCATTTACTCCCATGGCTTAAGTTACTATCTATATATACTGATGATCCCAAACACATATAGCTAGCATCAATCTTCCCCTAAAGCTTCATGTTTCTAAATCAAAAATGTCCACTTAGATCTTCCATGATAGTCCACAGGTATCTCAATTGAACATTTCTCCTGTCTCCAATTTTCTAACCAGTACTACATCCTCTAGCGTCTCCAGCTGACTGCTACACATCACCATCCATCCATTCACCAAAGCTGGAAGTCTTGTTTTGGTGTAGTCTCTCTGCACTTACAAAATCACAAAACCCAGTGGATTTTACTTTATAATTTTCCCTCTTTTCTTCCTCCTTCTTAGGTCCTCATATCATCTCTTATTGGATTATTACACTAGCAAGTCTGACCATGGCACAATATTATCTTCAAAATATAGACAATAAATGATCTACCTTTATTAAAATTATTTTTATTGTTGGCCAGGCGCAGTGGTTAACACCTGTAATCCCTGCACTTTGGGAAGCCAAGGCAGGTGGGTCACCTGAAGGAGATCAAGACCAGCCTGGCCAACATGGTGAAACCCCGTGTCTATTGAAAATAAAAAATCAGCTGGGTATGGTGGCACGCGCCTGTAATCCCAGGTACTCGAGAGGCTGAGGCACGAGAATCACTTGAACCCAGGAGGCGGAGGTTGCAGTGAGCCGAGATCACGCCTGGGCAACAAAGCGAAACTCCGTCTCAAAAAACAAAAATAAAAACAAAAATTAATTTTATTGTTTAATTGGAACATTCCTCAATGCGAATAACAGTAACAATAACAATAAAAGACTTAAATGCCCAATCTACTCATATAATCACTATGAGATGTGGGTACCCACCAACTCCCTCCCTCTTATTTGACTTAATAGGAAGTGTATCCTTTCCAGAAAATTGGGCGCCCTGAGGACAGGTCTATGTTTTTTGTTTGTTTGTTTTTTAAATACATTTGCCATCCTATGGTGTTGTTTAAGGTGGAAAAGTAGTTTCAAGATTACAATTAAAATATCCTTTTCTTTCCTTTGTATGTAACATCTTTGTTTTGGTTTCTGTCCAGACTTTCAACAGTGCTACTTTTTATAAGAAACCAAAATCCCTTAAAAATGTTTAGATTCATTCAGTAGTCTTTCTACTGAATAAGGGTATTCTTTGAACATAAATAAAAAGGAATTAAGTCCAGAAGACACTGAAACATGTTAAGGTAATATTTGATTTTATTTAATTATCCCTGAATTTTTTAAGTTCAATAAATTATGCCTAATTTATATATATCCTAAACGGCACAGATTTTTTAAAAAATATATTTCATTTGGCCGGGCGCAGTGGCTCATGCCTGTAATCCCAGCACTTTAGGAGGCCATGGCAGGTGGATCACCTGAGGTTAGGAGGTCAAGACCAGCCTGGCCAACATGATGAAACCCCATCTCTACTAAAAATACAAAAAATTGGCCAAGTGTGGTGGCGGGCGCCTGTAAACCCAGCTACTCAGGAAGCGGAGACAGAGAATCACTTAAACCCCGGAGGTGCAGTTGCAGTGAGCCGAGATCGCATCACTGCTCCAGCCTGGACAACAATAGTGAAACTCCATCTAAACAAAACAAAACAAAACAAAACAAACAAATAAAAAAACTATACACACACACACATATATATAATTTTTAAATAACAGAAATAATATTTTAATATAAGCATTCCAAAGAAGACAGAAAATATTCAAATAATTAACTTTCATATACAGTATAGGAATTACATTTTTTTCTGTTTTTTCTCTTTTTGCATAGAAAATAAAAACAATATGGTTTTCTGGGAAATAACAACTTTAAGTGAAATTAATAGATGTGGAAAACCAACTAGTTAGAATTCTTTGGCTAAATACTATAATGATAAACATGCTGTTGTTCTTAGAGCATTAGCATGCATATTGGAAGACTTGTCATATGGCAAAACTAAATGCCTGGTAGAGGTTCTGGCACTATCTAGGTTTGTTATTTTGTTATTTCTCCTTGATTAAGTGACTTAAGCTTTCTAGTGTTGGTTTCACTATGTGTATGATGAGGGGCCTGAGATCTGGGGTCAGCAAACTATGGCCTGAGAGCCAGGCATTTGTCTTTGTAATTAAATTTTGGTGGAAAACAGCTACATCCATTCACTCACATATTGCCTATAGATGCTTATGCACTAAACAGCTGAGCTGAATAGTTGACAGAGACCATCTGACCCATAGGCTATGATATTTAGTACCTGGCCCTGTAAGAAAAAGTTTGCTGACTCCTGGGACAGACTAGGTTAACTTTAAGTACTAATTCATTCAAGTACTAATGCTCAGTGATTCTAAGAAAATAATTTTCACTAAAATCTTCTTTAGTCAATGTATGAATATCATATATGCTTAAATTCTTAAGCAGCCCCTTAAATAATTCCACCTCAACAATCCCATATCACATCTGCATTAGCAGAGAATGCAAAATCATTTTCAATAGAGTATATGTGAATATATCATCATTTTCACAGTTCACTGGTTTACATCTCATTTTCTAGTTTCTGCTTCTCAGTTAATGAAACTTGTGGTTATTATTCCAATGCTAGATGACAACATAATATAAAAAATGAATTTCAAAACCTGACTAAATCAGCAATTTTGATGAATTTCCATAATGATGCTGATTTATTACCAATTTTCAAAAATTAAAGTTAAAACCCATTAATTCATCATAAGAATCTGTTTTAAGTCAAGGCATAATATTCAGAACTTTTAAGGCATTTGTTTGTAAACATGAATTAATATATACTCAAAACATTATACAAGTATGTATCTATATGTGTTAAAGAGAAAATATTTATTGAAATAATTACAACCATAATTATGTCAAGTAAGGTAAGACTAACTGTGATTTATGTCAGAGAAATACTTTGCATTTGATAGGAAAGAAGTCAATCTATAAATATAAAATTTATTATACATACATATTTAAAATGACAACATATGCTCTTGTTAGTGTGTTAATTTCTTTAGTTTTTAAAAGAAAAAATTAGTATGAGTGTTTGTATGGGAGGCTTATGAGAAAACTCTTCCCATTTCCTTCCTAAACCACCTAGAGTTCTTTTTCTTTCTTTCTTTCTTTTTTAAGTAGTAGGAGGAGGCAATATCCTTACCTGGTCTTATTGTAGATAATACAAAATCATGAAAATCAGTGGATGTACAGTGCTCATTACACAGAGGCAAAGCACAAGATAATTTATTGAGCAGTTATAATCTGTTAGGTACTCTAATGGTTTTAAATGTATTATATCATTTAATGGTTACACAACTTAGAGTGTCGTAAGATTATTCGTATCCCAATATAACAGAAAGAAAACTAATGCCTAGAGAAACTAATTTACCCCAGGTCATACTGTAGTAAGTGGCTGGGAAAATGCAGGTAGTGCTATCACCTCCCCAAGAAGACTGGGAACTTGGGAACAGGTTGCCTGGCAAGTGTGGGGCTCACATTGGATGGTAGCCTAGACCAGCAGATCCAAAGTCCAGAATGGTGACCAGCTAGCCTGGTGAGGGAGACTGAAAGGGATAAGGTTGTGGGATGGATGGCAGCGAAGACAGGAATGGGAAGTGAACTGAAAACACAGGCTGGTTGTTCTGGAAAAAGGTTCCAAAAACACGAGTACATTAGAGAGAATGACTGACGCTGTCTAGAGAGCCTCCAGATAATCAGACAAAAAGCCTGTGAAGAAAAGAGAAAATCGTTAAGGAAATACTGCAGGGAAAAGCTCAGGAAACTTCAAGCTAGGGTCTGGTTGCTGAAATGAGAACAACTCTTATCTGCGTTGTCTGTTGGTTTGTTTTGTTTTAAAATGGAAAGGGTGGAAGGCAGTAGACACATAAATGGAGCAGTAAGCTAGAAGGCTGTGATGGCTTGCAGGGTAACAGCGGGAAATGGAAACTGCTGGGAGACGGGGACCGTGAAAAGGGAATGGCCTATTTATCTTACAGGATCCTAAGGACAGTTTTTTGTTTGTTTGTTTTTTGTTTTTTGTTTTCAGAAACCTCAAACTGGGGTGTGGTCAAAGCCAATCTAAAGGGCATGTAATAAATAACACTGAAATAAAAGGCTCTTCTGAAATGCCCGGACTGAAGTGAATTTTTAAAACATTCCATGAGATAAAAATAGGCAACTACTTTCAAACATGAACTAAGAGGTTTTTATGTTTCTTCAATAATAAATGCCCTTATGAATCAGTGCAAATTAATGAGGCGATTATTGAGCAAATTCAAGAAAAAAAAGCTTTGGGTCATATTGAATTATTGTAATACTTTTACATTTTATGGTTGCTGCCCAGGTTTTCTGAATTATTTTCACCATGCTTTTAGTATTTTCTTTTCTTTCATCATTCTATTTGAGGAGAGGCCTATTAAAAGATATGCACATCTTTATTTTGATAATTTTAAAGCTACTTTGTGACACCTGGTGACAATCTTGGTTGTCTTGAAATTGGAGTTGGGCATTGCTAATGTAGTAAATAAATGTCACAACTTTGAATCTCCAAAAGAAGCATTTAGGGAATATTTTCAAAAATACATTAATTCCATGAAATAAATACATACCACAATCACTACAGAGAAGAATCATCACAGAGCTTTCATTCAGGCAAGGATCTAAGACAGTCTGTATCTTCTATAATATTCTTATTTATTTTTAAACAGAAAATAAACTGAGGCCCAAAGTTCTGTTCATTCTGCCTCCACTCCACTGTTTCTAATCCATTCCCTTCTTTTTCCCCACTGCTGCTGCCACATCAAGCCCTCAGACTTAAACACTTCTGGGTCTTGAGCCTATTAACTGGTCTCCTAGCTGCAAAGTTTGCCCTTCCTACTCCTCTTCCATATTCTGATGAAGAGACAGTTTGATGTAGTATGTAAGAGCTTCCTCTTTGGGGTCAGCTATGACTGCCACTTACAAGATGTGTGATTTGGGGCTAAGCTTCAGTGGCTTTGTCTGTGAAATACATGTAGTAAAACTCTGCTAGATATTCTGAATTTGCCTCTTCTGATGCATTCTTGACTCTCCTTCACCCTGTTCTTTGCTCCCCACAGGCTGTCCTTAATGAGCGTGTAATTACAAAGTCCTTGTCCCCTGGCCTCAAGTTGGGTTTGGCCAATGGGCAGCAAACTGACCAAATGATCATAAGGAAGGAGAAAAGTGAGCTCAGTATATTTGTTCTCCTGGCTTCTTCCCAGCTGGACAAGGAAATGGTATTGCCTAAGTTATTCCTTAGAAGGCTACAGCTCTTGCTCAGGCAGTTCCAGAACCAATTTCTCTAAATTCTCCCCGGAGGAGTAGTGAAATTTTCCACACTATTGCTAGCCTGAAAGGGTTCCACATACTTAACCCTGCCCAGAGTTTCATAAACAGTCCCTTCATCGAACACCCCTCAATTGCCCCATTTGTGTTGCCCTTTGTTTCCTTCTAGAATCCTGATACAATAGCCACATCTAACTCGAAAGGTATTTGTGCGAATTAGATGAGATAATGCATGAAAAATGCTTAATCATACAGTTGGCCTAGAGTAACACTTAATTCATACTGGCTATTACCATAAACTAAAACACCATCTGATTAAACCAGTTCTCTGCTAAAAATCTTAATAGATCCTCTGGGCTTTACCCTGAAGTCCAAATTCCAAGGAATAAAAGAACATGTGACTACCTTGTTTCTTCCCATCCCTTTCTATGTTCTAGCCAACTGTTAGCAGCCAATCAAATTACCAGTAATTATTTTTTTCTTATGTCAGTTCATTGGCACAACATGGTCTCATATCCTGTAATTATTAATACTTATTCAGCAGATGACTCCTACATATCCTTCAAAATTATGCTCAGGGCCAAGGCCTCCAGAAGCTTCCCTGACTTGCCCTCCCCTTCCTGGTCCAGGTAATGAACGTTCCTCTGTTCTCTGATTTACCTCAGCACTGCACTTAACAGATAAACACAGCAAAGTCTTTCATTTACATGACAGCTGCCACCTGCCCCACACAGGTGGGGCAGACCAATTTTCCCAAAATAAGGCCACATGTTTTTCCTTTTTTGAGAAAGGATCTTACTCTGTCACCCAGGCTGGAGTGCTGTGGCACAATCACAGCTCACTGCAGCCTCACACTCCTGGGCTCAAGAGGTCCTCTCAGCTCAGCCTCCAAGTAGCTAGGGCTACAGGCGTGCATCACTATGTCTGGCTAATTTTTAAATTTTTTGTAGAGACAGAATCTTGCCATGTTGCACAGGTTGGTCTCAAACTCCTGGGCTCAAGTGGTCCTCCCGCCTCAGCTTCCCAAAGTGCTGAGATTACAGGCGTGGGGCACTGCACCTGGCCATGGCCACATTTCACCTGCCTTTGTATCTCCAGTTCCTGGCATGACGTCTGGCCTGCAGTAAGTCTACTGATAAACTGACATATCTGGCAAGGACAACCACCTAGTATGAACCTCTGAAGCAGAGGTTCCTTTGGCAGATCGCACTTGTGTGTCATCCCAGCCTACAGGGATGGACCTGTCTTAGTCCATTTTTTTGTTGCTATCAAAGAATACTTGAAAGTGAGTCATTTATAAAGAAAAAAAGTTTACTTTGGCTGATGGTTATGGAGGCTTGGAAGTCCAAAATCAGGCAGCTGCATCTGATTGGCATCTGGATAGACTTTGGTATTGTGTCATCATGTTGTAGAGAAGTGGAAGGATGAAGTGTGCACGTACAAAAGGGCAAAACATGATGGGCAACCTCAGTTTATAACAATCCACTCTCATGGTAACTATTCCAGTTCCCTGAGAGCAAGAACTCACTCACTCCTGTGAGGATTAACCCAGTCCTGCAAGAGCAGCATTAATTCCTCTTAACAACCTAATCACCCCTTAAAGGTCCCACCTCCCAACACTGCCACACTAGGGACCAAATTTCCAAAACATATTCTGGGGGAAACACTCAAACTGTAGCAGGACCCACCCCAACTCATCCAGAACATCTCTGTTTTCACCTTGAGACTTCAATAGAAAACCTATCCTTGGATTTCAAAACGTTAAAGAACTTAATATGAGTAAAGTTGAATCACGTTAAAGCTCAAGATCCCCTTTAGGGGGTAAGAAGTAACCCCAAAACAGACATAAAATACTTTAATATGTTTATGATGCACACGAATATTGTAAATAAAAATACAAGTCTATTAATAAGGCTATTAATATTCTTATTTATACCATAAGGCTATTAATATACAAGCTACCAGCCCTTAAATACAAGTAAGGGAGCCACTTTCCTGACTAATCAATTTTTCTCAAATTTTATCTAATATGATATTTAAATTTTAGATAAATAAAACCTCAAGAATTAATTTCTCCTCTAAACTTTTATATTACATCTCAATCTCTATTCAGCTCACTTGGCAGACAGTATATAAATCTGTTATTATTTATATTTTTATCTCTGTTTACCTCTCTAGCTATACAAAATATACTCCCTAAGAGCAAGGATCATTTCTTATGATTGTCTCAATTTTTTACCACCACTCCCCACCTCTTCTCCATCTCTACGTAACACTGGGTCTTATGTAAAATGTACAATTTAGACAAGACTAAGTCTCTGTAAAACACACTTGGAAAGGGGATTAATTCTTCCTTTGCTTACTAGGATTCCAGGCTATGAATTATTATACGTAGATGTGTTAAGCCAGCTTAGAGCTCAACCACAGAAATATCAGGCTTCTCTGATTCAGCACGACACTTTAGCTGCCTCTCAACGAGTTAACTTGAGCCATAGAAATAGGTATGTCCAGACTCGACAGTTTTTTTTAAAAAAAAACCTTGACAGGCAGAAGTATAAAAATACTCATTTCAAAGCTTCCAGCTGTTCAGCTTTACTGAAGGAAGAGACCTGAATTTACATTTGAGGCTGTTTCTTTATTCTTGGAAAAATCAACTTAACGGCAAATTCTGTTATATAAATATAAAGCAAGTCCCTACCCACTGTTCTGGGGCAAGCAGTGAAATTAACCTGCATCTTGATGTTTCAAAAAGAAGAAAGTGTTTCATGTAAGCCGGGTGCATGTTTTAGCAGAGCCATGTTTCTGAGGCTCTGTGGCTTCTTTGAGGAAGATGTTTACTGACTCAGGGAACATAGAGACTGCACAATGAAGGTTCCCCCTATTCTTGATCAGCAGTTTTCAGGAACTCAGAGAACTGAAGAAAGGGTGTGTGCTGAAAGCTATTCATCCTCCAAAGAAATGGACCAATAAAGCCCAACTTGCAGTAACATTTAAGTCTAAATCTCACAAGGATTACTGATGTGGGACTGTTGGTTGTGATCAGATCCTTAACCCCTGAAGCCAAAAGTCATTTCTCCTTATTGTGAAATTTCTCAACCCATTTCTTCTTCTTGTGAAATTTCTCAAGATTCAACTGTGCCTCTGATTTCTCACCCAGAGCTCTGTCTTGTATAAACGTTATGTGCTGGAAGGTGGACTCCAAGATCTAAGATGAGACTTCCCAGGCACCTTAGATTCTCACAGGGAGAGAATATTCCTTCCCAAGCCTTGGGGTTGTAGGGCCTGAATTCCAGGTAGCAAGCCTAGGGTGTAATCACTAGGGAAACAGAGAATCCGGCCCTAGTCAGAGAGAGATGCACAGGAAATAAAGATAAGGGATCCCTTTCCCCCACACTGAGACTGATCCTCTAAGCTCCGAGCAGAGCACTTTGAAGAGAAGTGGGTGATACCTCTGCTCTGCCCTGCCCATCCCCAAATGTCCAGCCTTCATAAAATCTTGTTGGAAATAACAGCCAGATATCAGCTGCATTGTAGCCGACTAAGAAAAGGGTCAGCTTTGCCCTTGGGCAGATGGCAAAGGAAGCCAGAATAGCCACTGCAGTGGAAGACACCAGGGAGGAGCCAGGATGTGCCCTAAGGGTCAACATTACAGGCACTTGTATGGTGGCATGAAAAGGAATAGCAAGGTACAAGAACATGAGGCACCTGCTTCAGACACAACAGAACAACACCTGATGCACTGGTGCAAACTCGCAGGGCCCATGCTGGGTGCAGTGGCATGCACCTGTATTCTCAGCTACCTGGGAGGCTAAGGCAGGAAGACTGCTGGCCCCCAAGAGTTTGAGTCCAGCCTGGGCAACATAGCAAGATGTCATGTCTACAAAAAATTAAAAAAAAAAAATAGCTGGGTTTGGCAGTATGCACCTGTAGTTCCAGCTACTCAAGTGGCAGGAGGATCACTTGAACCCAGGAATATAAGGCTGCAGTGAGCTATGATTGCACCACCGCTCTTTACCCTGTCTTGCTCTCCTGCAGGACCCTGTCTCTAAAAACAGACAGACAAACAAACTAAACAAATAACCAGGGCCCATGTTGAGGAGCCCCAATGTCCTGGAAAGAGACCAAGCCATAAAGAAATCTAGGGGAAGTGATTCAGGCAGTGGGTACAGCAGATGCTCACGTTTTGAGACAGGGTGGGCCTGGCATGTCACAGGTATGGTGAGGAGGTCCATGTGATAGAATGCAGTATGTCCTTCATGCACTTTGGTGCATCCATGCTTCCAGGCACCCTCCCCACATGCCCTTCTCTGCCACTTCCCATATCTAATTCTAATCTCAACCCATCCTCTAATTTCTCCTTGATTACTGAAGTTACAAGTTATTTTTCCCTGTTGTGGACTTCCTCAAGATTCAATGGCACCTCTGATTTGTCACCCAGCACTTTGTCTTGAAGCATAACCATCACATGAAAGTGGCCCTAACCTATTTAAGGCAGAGGCCATGTCTGATTGTTGAAAGCCCCCAGGATCAATACATGAGTAATGTGTTCATTGAGTTAACTGGTTGAACTGAACTTGGAAGCCATTGGTTATTTTTCAGAAGTTTCAGAGTGACCAGTGGCAACTTTATTCTAGGTGTTTATCATATATATACATAGATAGATTTATATAAATACATATATCTATATTGATATAAATACAGATATAGATAGATATACACTTTTTTTTTTTGAGACAAGGTCTGGTTCTGTCACCCAGACTGGAGGGCAGTGGCACAATCACAGCTCACTGCAGCCTCAACCTCCCGGGCTCAAGCGACCTTCCCACCTCAGCCTCCTAAGTAGCTGGGACTACAGGCACATGCTACCACACCTGGCTGATTTTTATATTTTTTGTAGGGACAGAGTTTTGCCATGTTGTCCAGGCTAGTCTAGAATTCCTGGACTCAAGTGATCCACCTGCCTCAGCCTCCCAAAGTGCTGGGAGTACAGGTATGAGCCACTGCACCCAGCCTTATTGTATATTTATACATACAAAGACTTACGGGCATGGAGATTCATTGTGACATTGTTTGTAGCAAATGACTAAAAATAACTTCAAACTCCAGGAAAGAACTGGAATTACAGTACAGATACAAAATGCAGCCAATAAGGCCAATAAATCGCTATGTACTAATATGGAACCAACTATAATATATTGTTAATGGAAAAGACAAAATAAATAACAGGGGGCATATTAGGTATTATTTATGTAAAAAATGTGTGATTCTATTTGCATATTGGATCTCTGGAAAGATGCATAAGAAAACTGGTAAAGGCAACTGCCTGTGGGGAAAGGAACAAGAAAACAGGAGAGAAGAAAATTTAACTTTCACTATACTCCCATTTTGTACTCTTTGCAATGTCTATTACAGGGTGCACATGTTACCTACAGAAAAAAAAGAGAGAAAGAAAAAGGGTCTAATAAGTCCTCACACAGCCCTGGGCAGTCTCAGCTCCCTACATCCCCCCGACTCCAGCCTTATTTCACTACGGTTTGGTTCTAAAATAGTCATCGGTTGTAAATGACAGGCTTTCATGGCATGGCAGGAAAACTGGTGGCTGGCAGGAGTGAGTTAAAGACTGGGTGGAACAAGCAGAAATAAACTACTATTTAAATATTCTCACTAGTACAACCAAGTTGCCTTCCAAAGCTCAGGCTTGTCTGCATAATAGCTCATTTAGCTACTAAAACCTGGGATAGGCTTGCATGCACAATCTGAATCATCAAACAATTTAGAAGTTAAAAACTAAAATCTTCCTTGAAGGGAAACTTGCTTGCAGAATAAATCCTGTAATAGATTTCTACAAGATGATGAAAGTTTCAAAACTGGCCAAGCATCTAGGACTTTTAAAACAAAATTATATAATTCATAAAATGAATGCAATGAATGTTGCATTTCTACATCCAAGAAGACTGTACTAATAACCAATACAAATGAATGCAAGAATACAGTTGGACAGATTTTGATAAGTTTGAACTTACTGTCCGCAACCCGACAATCTATGTATCCTCACTTGTCAGTAAACTTTACACATGCTGTATTTTTTAGGACCAAGAGTGTTCACAGAAGACTGCCATAAAGAGCTGGCAGCAATGAAACTCAAACTTATCTTGTGCTATACTAGACAAATGTCTTAGCCTTTAAGAATTACAGTAAGAAATCTTACATCTGAAGCACATGTCCTAGTTTTTCAGAATCTGTTATGTATACTTTAAATATTCCCATCTTGTCAGTCCAAATAACTTGTCCTTAATACCTTTATCTTCTCCAATAAAGCTTTATTTGAAATCTTACACTACGGCTGAAGATACTTGAAATTTAGAAATCCTCTTCAAAACAAATTTGAGTTACAGAATCATAAAGTGCTATTTCGCTATCCACTCTTGTATTGATATTCCTGTTTCCCTCATTAAATATTTTGTTAAAGGAGCAAAAAGGGGAAACCATATTTGAAATATAAGTATAGAAGTAAAATTTAGTACATGTGGACTGATTAATCTTGGAAATTATGACTATATGTTAAAATGCCAAAGTACGAAACAATAAATCATGGACACAAAATTACTCCCAATCTATTATATAACTTTAAAGATGACAATGCATCAAATGTTGTAAACAAATACAGTATATATGTCTCAAAACAAATTTCAAGGGAATTAGTGTTCAAAATCAAAGCAAACACACATGGAATTTTTAAAAGATATCCTTTATAATATCAATTATTTTCTGTAAACCTTGTTTTGTTTCAACTACTGGCAACTTCACACATTACTAACTTTTAAGTCAAAAGGTAAGCCATTTAACAGAACACTTTTTCTAAAAATAGTTTTCTTACATTAGCATTCATTGTTGCACTATTATTATCATAAAGTCACAAATGACTCATTTTTTAAAAAAAATTATTGACTTCATGTAGCTCCTATGATGAGGTCATTTGTTGGCAATATGTGAAGTAATAAATTTGGGTTGAGTTTTTAACTAGATTACTAAGTTTTAACCCCCCAAAAGTTTAATAAAAACAATATAACATTAGCAAGTTGGACTTTTAAGGAGGGAAGAGATGCCTGTGAGAAAGGCCACATGTTCAGAAGGTAGCATTCCACCATGTAAAAGCCTAGTCTGTCCATGTGCTAAATTAGCCCAAGGGCTGGCATTCTTATTCCACAAGCTCTCAAACCTACAGGATTTAGTGGAGTTGTTCAGATGGTTTTGAAAGACTCACAAAACAAAGATGGATTATTCATTTAAGAAAGGATTGCCATTTAGTACAGGAAAAAGAAATCTGTATTTAGCAATATTACATGAAAAGAAAATACAGGGTGACAGAAGTCAACAATTTGTAAACATTTTATCAGTTAGTGGTATGATTTAGGATCTACAATTTGAGCTTTAATACAAATTGCAATACACATAAAGATTCCAAACTATTCTTTCATGATCTCTTTGCAACTACTATAAAAATTGTGTAACATGAACTTACTCTAGCTACGCTTTGTAGGTTTTTAGAGTATCATATATTGGATACTTTCAGAAATAATAACTTTAAAGATGAGTATATACCAAATTATAATATTACAAATTATTTCATTATCTATTTTTCCTTTGAAAATCTCACTGAACCAAATGCTTTATTACCAGCTCATTGGTTATTAGTAAGAACAACTGAACTGCAAAGGTCTAGAACAGGGGTTGGCAAATTATGCTCCATGAACCAAATCCAGCCACATCCATTTGTTGAGATGGTGTCTGTGGCTGATTTTTCATTGAAACAACAGATTTTGTGTAGTTGCAACAGAGACTTCATGGGCAAAAATATTTATTATCTAGCTCTTTACAGAAAAAGTTTACCAACCTCTGGTCTAGAATATCTCCTAAGATAGAAATTTTGTTTTCTATGCAGCATTTTATTATCTGAAATCCTACTATTCCAGATTGACTAAGGTGTGAAAAAACAACAATTAATAGCAAGAAATACAATGTTTACTTGACTGCTATAGGAAACCAGGATACTTTCTGAGATGATGAAAGTGTTCTACAAAACTTGATTGTGGAGGTGGTTTTCACACTACATTTACCAAATTCATCAAATTGTAATTGGCAATTTGATTTTATGTAAAATATAATGCAATAAAAAGAAAACATCTGAAAATAAGTTCACCTCATTTTTATAGTTGGATAATAAAAATATCAAAAGAAAAGAAGAAAACGAAAATCAGCTAATGATTTGAGCTATGTGATTCCTGACAGGAATGTTTCTACAGTTTACCATATATATCATACAATACACAACAATGTAGAATTTGAGAACTTATTCTTAAATATTACTCACAGTGTCCTATACTTTGAATTATTTATTTATGTGTTTGCTTATTTATTTATTTGATTTATTTTTTAAGAGGCAAGGTCTTACTCTGTCATCCAGGCTAGAGTGCTGTGGTATGATCATACCTCACTGAAGCCTTGAAATCCTGGGCTTAAGTGATCCTCCTGCCTCAGCCTCCCAAATAGCTAGGACTACAGGTGTGCACCACCACGCCCATCTAATTAAAAAAAAAATTGTAGAGATAGAGTATCACTACATTACCCAGGTTAGTCTCAAACTCTTGGCCTCAAGTTATCCTCCCTTGTCAGCTTCCCAAAGTTTTAGGAACACAGGTGTGAGCCACCATTCCTGGCCTAAAATATTTTAATTTAGATGCCAGACACAGCGTGCATATGCATTCGTGTACCAGGAAGTAAGTGGTAAATCAGGGAGCAGTTAATTATTTTGTGATGGAGAGTATTCTCTTCCTGAGGGCACCCAAGCTGAGGTTTCAGAATCAAAAGGTTTAAGGAATTATTCAGCTTTAGATACATATCAAAAATTAAAATAATGATATTTAACAAGGCTGAACAAACCCATTATCTACTAACAGAATCTCATAACCACAGTGAGTTCAAAGGAAAAAAGAGATAAAAAGCTATAGGAGACCACTTAGCTTTCTAGACAAAAGTTTTCTCTTCATTAAAAATCTTAGTAGTACATTTTATGAATATTTTGAGGTAAAAGGAAGCAAAGGACTGATTCATGTTAGAATATGATGTTACTAGATTTCGATATAAAATTTGTGACCATTTCATGGAAAAACATTTGTCTGTTTTCTACTGCATTTCTGGTATCTCACATAAATCTCCACTTTTCTATGAACTTCATTTGGGACAACAAATAAACTGGTAACTGCCTGTTGAAAAATTCAACAAATAAAATCACATGGCCTTAAAATGCAATTTATATATTGTTAAAAAAATAAAGCAACTTTTTTTTAAAACAGAAAAATATATTGTTACGTAAGTACATAGGAAAGGGTGAAAAATATGTTAACATGGCCAAATTAGAGAAAGAAGATAGCAATGTCTATTTTCTTCTTCTTCTTCTTTTTTCTTTTTTTTTTTAAGACAGGGTCTCGCTCTGTTGCCCATGCTAGAGTGCAGTGGCAAAATCATGACTCACTGCAGCCTCAACCTCCCTCTATTGATCCTCCTGCTTCAGCCTGCTGAGTAGCTGGGACTCAGCTGCACGTCACCACATGTGGCTAATTTTTAATTTTTGTAGAAACAGGGTCTCACTATGTTGTCCAGGCTGATCCTAAACTCCTGAAGTCAAGCCATCTTCCCACCTCAGCCTCCCAAAGCACTGGGATTACAGGTGAGAGGCACCACGGCCAGCCTATGTTCTTCTTTATGACTATCTGTGACGTCTATTTTAAAACAAGGCACATATATTACTTATAATTGTAAAAGCAAATACATGGAAAATCTTACTAATAGATATATTAGTGAAAAAAAACAGAATGCATGTTATCATTGGTATAATTGCCCATTATGTAAAGATAGGTATACATGCAATTAAGGAATTTATAGCTACTGTAATCATAAGATAATAAGCAAATGTTTCAAGAGTTCTCTTTGTTAATATCTTATTCCCAATGTCTTAACAATGAATACATCTTGAAAATAACTGTGCATTCCCCTTTTGTATAATGTAAAGATATATTTAAAAATTTGCCTTGAATTTACTTTTAAAAATAACCCTTTCTGATAGCATTAAAATTTGCCATTCCTTTCCCTAATTACCTAGTTTCAGTCACTGGAATGATGACTGCTATGGTCTGAATGTTTATCAATTCTCAAATTCATGTTGAAATTTACTTGCCATTTTAGTAGTATTAAGAAGAGAGACATTTAAAATCTGATCAGGTTATGAGAGCTCTGCCCTCATGAATGGATTAATGGCATTATGGCAGGAGTTGGTTCATTATCTTGGGAGTGGGTTCCATATAAAAAAGTGAGTTTGGGCCTCTTTTGTCTCTCTTTCTTGCCCACTCTTGTCCTTCTACCTGCTGCCCTTGGATGACACAGCAAGAAGGCCTTCACCAGAGGCTGGCCTCTTGCTCTTGGACATGTCAGCTTCCAGGGGATTGAGGAAATAAATTTCTATTCCTTATAAATTACCTAGTCTGTACTATCCTGTGATAGCATTACAAAATAAACAAGACAATACATGAAGACAATAAAATCTCCATTCCATATAAGGCTGGCAGTCCGAATAATTCTATATTTGTTGAATTTCTTCAATTTTTCATGAGCCAAGCAGTTTAGTTTGAAGTTAGCAAAAGTATTTTTAAAGAAACAACCACAAATTTGGTGTATGTATCTATACATCTACATCTGTATCTGGTAGGGAATGGAATAACTTACCTAAAATAATAGTTTTTAAGGAACATTTAAAAACATTAAAACCATAACTTAAAGCTAAAATAGATCACTGAATTCATTCTTAGTTTTTTAATTTACAGAAAACACAACTGTCCATTTAAGTGACTTGTCCAAAATAAAAAAACTAACTGGTGACAAAGTTAGAAGAAATACTGGACTTCCAATTCCTTGATACCATGCTTTTAAAACTAAAGTTCACTGCAAAAGGAGCCTGCCTTTTTGCTGCCATCTCTGCTCAAGGGAAGGACTTCCAGAAAAGACACAGGTTCCTAGATTTTCATCCCCAGTTGTTGCTGTGAGCCTTGGCTATCACTCTCCTTCTATCCCAGAGGACTGGTAAATGGGACCAGGACTTATTCACTCAGGCTGGCCTCCTTTGATCTGCCAACTGGCCCTGTACATGGCAAACTGTACATTGCTGGCACCTGGCTCAGGGCTCTGCCATAGTCCCAGGGGCATATCTGGGCAGGGACTGGTCCTGGCCTAAGTCCCGCCTGACTGGCAGCAGGTTCCAGCTGATAGGAGGCCAGAGAAACACATGCTGAAACCCTCTTGTGCCACTGCTCTCACGCCCCAAGGCCTCCTGGGCACTGACCGCCTTTCCAGGGGCACATGATGAAGGTTGGAGCTTGGAGACTGCAACTGGAGTGAGAGCATGTGCTGGATGGAAACAAGTCTGCCTAGCACAGCCTGCAGGCTAAATAAGAATAAAGCGAGTGGAGCGTCAGATCAGCAGCTGCTTCAGAGCCATTTTGGAAAGAGGCTGGGAATAAATAAATAATAAAAAATATAATCAAATAATTGCCATCTGTTACTGTTGCTACCACCTTGTTGACAATCTACTCTCCAGCTTTGCTGTCCACATGAACATCAACATTTCTGCTCATGGCTACACAGCAAAAGCTCTGTCTTCTGGAATGTTACTAGTGGAGGATTATGAAATATTACCATAACATAAACCTTACCTACCTTTACTTATACTGAGCCCTGTCTCTGTCCTTGTCTTAAAACTTCATGAAATCCTATTTGGACCTTGAAAATAATTCTTTAGGTCTTTCTCTCTAAATCTCCCAAGCAAAAAGTGCAGTGTCCTTTTCTGGTCTGCCATTCTATATAAAGAAGTTACTTGTCATACAATATAGTTAGTGATATAAATTGTCTATTTTCTCAGTGAGCTGTTTGAAAACAATCTACAGCCCTCTGTTTACATAACTTCTCGAACTGTTATATAGAAAAGGAGACTATGTGAAGATTTGAAAAGATACTACAGGCAAAGTGCTTACCCTAGTGTTTCACATGAGCAACAACCAATAAGGCTTCCTTATCATCACCTGTACTATCATTAATCATCATCATTATCAATACCGTTTATAAATCTTTACACCCTAAGGTAGCTGCTGACATGCACTACATGCTAACAATTTTTTTTTTTTTTTTTTGAGACAGGGTTTCACTCTGTCACCTGGGCTGGCATGCAGTGGCAAGATCATGGCTCACTGCAGTCTCGACCTCCTGGGCTCAGGCAATCCTGGCTAATTTTTTGTAGAGTTGGGGTTTCACCATGTTTCCCAGGCTGGTCTTGAACTCTTGAGCTCAAGGGATCTGCCTGCCTTAGTCGCCCAAAGTGCTGGGATTACAGACATGAGCCATCATGCCCAGCCAACTGTTATTCCTTATGGAAAACCATATCACATAGTTTAATCACCACGACATAATTGGACAGTACTTTTGATACCAACAATGGTTGGCAAACGCTAAGGTGGTTCCCATGACTCCCTTGCCTATTCATATTCACTTTGTTGTGGAATATTCTTCCTTTGAGTGTCTGTGAGAGGCTCGCAGTCCAAGAGACTCAAAAAACAGAATGTTGCCAACAGCCATGTGAGCTCAGAAGTAGATCCTTTCCCAGTGGAGCATTCAGATGAAACAAGAGAAGGCCTAGCTGACTGTGCAGACTGAAGGGACACCTGGAGGCAGAGGCACCCAGCTAGGCCATACTCAGACTCTTACCACACAGAAACTGAGACAATAAACCAGTGCTATTTTAAGCAGCTTATTTTGCGGTAATTTTTTACACAGCAACAGACAGCTAATATACCAACATTTCCCCAACTTATGTTCCACAGAGTCCAAAATTTGTTCTTAATCTAGTAAATCTGGGAGATGTAATGGCAGATTTAATTTTAACAGCAGAAGACCAAGAGCTTTTAATCATTAGCTAATGAACATTGAGATTCTACTGGCTGGGGGGAGATGGGAGAGATGCACATATGCAGCTCACCCCAAACAGATTTGATCAAGGACATTTTTCCTAATTTTAACAATTATTTTGTTAATTGGACCATAATTTTATTTTTCTTTTCTTTGTTTTTATGAAATAGGGACATAGTCTCACTATGCTGGCCAGGCTGGTCTCCAACTTCTGGGCTCAAGCAATCTGCCCGTGTCAGCCTCCCAAAGTGCTAGGATTACAGGCATGAGCCACTGCTCCCAGCCGCAGACCACAGTTTCAGAAATGACTTTTCAGATTCACAGAAGCTTTAGGAGACACAGAAATCCAAAGCCAGCTGTGAATGCCTCAGACAGGAGGCAGAACATGTGCAAAAGTGGACAACAGCCATCCCACGAATTGAGGGAAATTATCCAACTCTTCCTAAAAATATCCAAATTTGCTGTTATCCAACAAACTATATTTTGTGAAAAGTTTTGTTGCTTCCCTAATTTTTCCGTCTTGTAAATTGTCAACAAAAATATATAATGCTCAACATATTTTGTAAGAAAAAAAAACGTATTCATGTGTTTGAATCAACAGACTAGCTTCAATCTAAGATAAGTCAAAGCAGTAAAAACTTGTTTTAGAATAAACTTTGTTGTGGGGGGACCTCTAAGACCCAAAACAATAAAACTTCTCACCAAAACACACACACACACACACACAAAATCCAAAGATGAAAGTTTCATTTGAAATATTTCTCTAGTCCCTCCTGATCTTTTATTTCTCTAAACCAACCAAGCATGGTATTTTTATGAACAAATTCTGCAATTGCGTTTCTCAAGAAAATAATTTACAGCTATGAAGAAGACAAAACAGTAGTTTTCCTCTCTTATCCCTTCCTTCCCCCATCACATCAGCCATACACATCACCTCTCACCAGCAATGACAGGGACTGTCAGGAGGCTGGAGGCAGAAGGACAGAGCAGCTTGCAGAGGAAAGGAAATGGAGTAGAGTCCAATGAGCACCTTGTTTGACATCACATCCATCACTTTAAAAGGTGTTGAGTTCTGTTTTTGTTTTTTAATGTCTTCCTGCTTTCCAGAAACTTTACTTCTTTGGCAATGAAAGGGCCAACTTGCACATTCTAGAATGTTTTACTGCCTTCAACATTTGTGCTTTCAATTTACAGATAGCCCTTTAGAACTGGTGGGTAAAAGTGCTATGTTTAATCTGGCACTCAGTGATTCAAAGGCAATTTCAAATTTGCATCAAAATTTCTCAACTTAGGTGCATTTCAAAGTAAAGTGATACTATGTCTGAATTTTAATAGCACTAATTCCAGTTACTAGTCTAAATTTTATTATTGAGGGAGATCAAGGAGCTCATTTATAGCTATTCTTTGATACAGTGCTAGATAGCAAAACTTACTTATCTGTAATATACCTATTTAAAAAATCACTGATCATAATAAAAATCAGAACTACTTGAAAGCTCTTCATGTTGTTATTTAAAAGATGTACAAGAAGTCATATGATATGATCTTATAAGATTATTTCAAATGAATTACCTTCAAGTCTGAAGACTCAACAGAAATGCCCATGTTAAAATATTGGTCATTCTAATGCCTAAATAAAGCTAATATTACAAGCACAAATCAATGCTCTCACATTAAAGAGGGGGTAATGAGACCTGCACTCTCTACTCCACAGGATTATAAGGATAAAACAAAGTAAGAGCTATGAAGCACTTCATAAACTGTAATAGGCTCTTACTATTATTAGAAATGACTGAAGTTTGAGTCCATTTTGCTTCCTAAAAGCAATCTAATGTCAAGTGCTGCAGATCAAACATTTCTATGATTCAAAAACCAGAATGCTTACAAATGTTGAATTCAGTGTTCAAAAATAAGAATGCCCTCAGACACTGAAGTCTACACCTTGAGCTTGACCAAAAAAAAAAAAAAAAAAAAAAAAGCTTAGCCTGTGCTATAACACTGCACAGTACAGATGCCCATATCACCCATATCCAAGGCAGACCACAGACATGTCATTCACATAGAAGGTCAAATACACAGGCATCTTTCAAAATTTAAGAAGTGACTCCCTTTGCTATCTATAGCCAAGGCTGACAAAATGTAGGGAACTGATATTTTTACTGTAATGAAGGATACATGTGACAAAGCACTTGATTTATCAATCTGCTAAGGAATCCACAATCTACCATTATTTCAAATCATACATTTTGGCAATCTATGCATTTTTTTTTACTGACAATTACAAGAATACTCCTTCATTTATGCATATTTCCACTTATATATGTTTACTCTTGAGATTTAAAGACTGGTCAAATGAACTTTGGTAACAATCTAATTAAGAAAAAAAAAACACTACCAAAATGTCCTAAAAAACAAGCTATTAATATAATGGTCTGTACACTGTTTTCTTATAAACTAATTTTACTGTTGAACAGAGCATCAAATCTCTAAAGACTTCAAGAAATCAATATGCCATTTTACATGTAGATTTCTGTGTTTCATGCTAATATAAAAAGTAATATTTGCAGCAAGAACTACCCTTAAGAGACAACAAACATTGAAATTGGACAGCAGTAGTAGTGTTCACTCTAGATGATAGCTTACTCTTCTTTAAAGTATACACTAAGGTGTAATTATGCATTTCTTCAGGACTAAATTTTCTTGTGATCCACAAAATTTCTTATCTCACAGGTCTCTGTGAATGAAAACATTTGGCAGAAACACTAAGCTGTTTATGAGGAATAAAAGTACACCAATGGATTCCTGCTTAGCAAACAAAATGTTCTGTCTCTTAAAGGAATTAACATGAAGTATAATTTTATTCTCAAAGCATGGCATGAATAATATAAATCTATCATAAAAACTGTTTACTACAAGAATGATTCCCTTTTATTAAATTATTCTCACTTCTTTTGCCAGGAAAGCTAAACTGAATAGCACTGTGATAGAGATACTTTAAAATCTGAGCTACAAACAACAAAAAGTTGTTAACATTGATATGTAAAGAACTATTTTTAAAATCGTCCCTTGCCCAGTAATTATACTTTAAAATAGTCAAATAACCATCACCATGAAATATGCAAGACAATGATTTAAAAATCAGTCCATTTAAAACAGGTTCCAGAGGTTCCAAGATGGCCGAATAGGAACAGCTCCAGTCTGCAGCTCCCAGCATGAGCAATGCAGAAGATGGGTGATTTCTGCATTTCCAACTGAGGTACCACGTTCATCTCATTGGGGCTTGTCAGACACTGGGTGCAGCCCACGGAGCAGGGTGGGGCATCGCCTCACCCAGGAAGTGCAAGGGGTCGGGGAATTCCCTTTCCTAGCAAAGAGAAGCCGTGACAGAAAATCGAGAAAATGGAAAATCGAGACACTCCCACCCTAATACAGTGCTGTTCCAATGGAATTAGCAAACGGCACACCAGGAGATTACATCCTGCGCCTGGCTCAGAGGGTCCCATGCCCACAGAGCCTTGCTCACTGCTGGCACAGCAGTCTGAGATCTAACTGCAAGACAGCAGCCAGGCTGAGGGAGGGGCGTCGCCATTGCTGAGGCTTGAGTAGGTAAACAAAGCAGCCAGGAAGCTCAAACTGGGTGGAACTCACTGCAGCTCAAGGAAGCCTGCCTGCCTCTGTACACTCCACCTCTGGGGGCAGCACATAGGTGAACAAAAGCCAGCAGAAACTTCTGCAGACTTAAACGTCCCTGTCTGACAGCTTTGAAGAGAGTAGTGGTTCTCCCAGCATGCAGCTGGAGATCTGAGAACGGACAGACTGCCTCCTCAAGTGGGTCCCTGACCCCCGAGTAGCCTAACTGGGAGACACCTCCCAGTAGGGTCCAACTGACACCTCATACAGCCAGGTACCCCTCTGAGATGAAGCTTCCAGAGGAAAGATCAGGGAGTAACATCTGCCGTTCTGCAATATTTGCTGTTCTGCAGCCTCCGCTGGTGATACCCAGGCAAACAGGGTCTGGAGTGGACCTCCAGCAAACTCCAACAGACCTGCAGCTGAGGGTCCTGACTGTTAGAAGGAAAACTAACAAACAGAAAGGACATCCACACCAAAACCCCATCTGTACGTCACCATCATCAAAGACCAAAGGTAGATAAAACCACACAGATGGGGAGAAACCAGGGCAGAAAAGCTGAAAATTCTAAAAATCAGAGCACCTCTTCTCCTCCAAAGGAACGCAGTTCATCGCCAGCAATGGAACAAAGCTGGACGGAGAATGACTTTGATGAGTTGAAAGAAGAAGGCTTCAGACGTTCGGTAATAACAAACTTCTCCGAGCTAAAGGAGGATGTTTAAACCCATCGCAAAGAAGCTAAAAACCTTGAAAAAAAGATTAGACGAATGGCTAACTAGAATAACCAGTGTAGAGAAGTCCTTAAATGAGCTGATGGAGCTGAAAACCATGGCATTAGAACTACGTGACACATGCACAAGCTTTAGTAGCCTATTTGATCAAGTGGAAGAAAGGGCATCAGTGATTGAAGATTGAATGAATAAAATGAAGCAAGAAGAGAAGTTTAGAGAAAAAAGAGTAAAAAGAAACGAACAAAGCCGCCAAGAAATATGGGACTATGTGAAAAGACCAAATCTACATCTGATTGGTATACCTGAAAGTGACGGGGGGAATGGAACCAAGTTGGAAAACAATCTGCAGGATATTAACCAGGAGAACTTCCCCAACCTAGCAAGGCAGGCCAACATTGAAATTCAGGAAATACAGAGAATGCCACAAAGATACTCCTCGAGAAGAGCAACTCCAAGACACGTAATTGTCAGATTCACCAGGATTCAAACTCAGGCATGTGGCTGCAGAATCGGCACCCTACCCATATTTTACCTTTTATATATATTTATATTTATATATGTACTTTAGTACTTCTGTTACACCACCACTTGCACTACAGCTGTGTACTGTCTATTTCCAAACTTTGTGTGACATTGTGATTTAGTAAGAAATATTTATTTGGTCTTCATCCCAGGTCTTCATCCTGGCACAGAGTTCCTAAAATCCTTATAATTTTCTGAGTAACAGGGGTGATAAGAGCATCTTTTGTTATAATATTTGGTCTTAGTCCTCAGTTCCTGACACAGAGCTCCTAAGACCCTTGGAATCTTAGTGATAAGAGTATATTTTCTGAATGCTAAGAAGAATGACTGGTGGCTACAGGCCCCTAGATAGGTTCAGGATGGGGATTGGTTGCCAGAAGAACCAAGGCATGATTACAGGGTTGTAATCTGCAACTCCACCAATGTGCCTCCAGGGAGGGGCAAGGGGCTAAAGATGAGTTAGTCACCACTGGCCAATTATTTAATCAATCATCTAGGTTATGAACCTCTATAAAACCCCTAAATGATGGGTTCAGAGAGCTTCTGGGTTGTGGACACACTGAAGTGCTGGGAAGGTGGTGCCCCTGGAGAATGCCTGGAAGCTCTGAGCACCCTTCCTCCCTACCTTGCCCTATGCATCTCTTCCATCTGGCTGTTCCCCAGTTGTATCCTTTATAGTCAACCAGAAAATATAAGCAAATGTGTTCCTGAGTGCTGTGAGCCATTCTAGCAAACTATGGAACCCAAGGAAGGGGGCGTGGGAATGCCCAATTTGTAGCAGGTCAGTCAGAAATGCAGGCAGTCCAGGACTTGCAACTGGCATTCAAAGCGGAGGTAGTCTTGCAGACTAAGCCCTTAACCTAAGGGGTCTGTGCTACTGCGTAGTTAGTGTCAGAAATAAATAGAATCTTTAGACACTCAGTTGGTGTCTGTCTGAGGTGTTGGTGAATTGGTTATTGGTGTGGGGAAATAACCCAAAAAGTTAATTTGAAAGTGTTATGAGTAAAAAACAGCACAGTACCATGGAAAAGGTGAAATCTGAAAAGAAAATTTACTCCCATTGGCAGGCATCAGGGCATTTTTTGAGCTACTGCCCAGCACTGCGGAGCCCTAACAGGAACATTATTAAAGCCAGTTCAGCCTCCACCTGTCCATAAGGCTTCTCAATGCTTTAATTCACCCAGGAATATAATTAAAGAGGGTGATTCCTTAAATTACCAAAGCTCTATTTAAACTTTTATTCCAACAAGGTTTCCTACTAGTCTACTGTGAGAAGCATTCTTTGTATCATTTCTTAAAGTTTCCTCAAGACTCGTGGGGTTGGGAACAGAGTGACATCTAGTATTCTGGGTCTCATCTTCCTGACAGGATCCCAGTGATCAGGTGACACAGGTCATCAGACCAGCATGGCTTACTTCGACCTGAACATCCAGTTAGCACTCCTACCTTCTCACATGTTTGGGGAACTAGCCATGCATGTGCCAACTAAGTTATTAATACTCTACAGGGTATTACACTGGGGCTCTAAAGACACTGGTAACAATAATATTAGGAATAATAATTTAACACTAAGTAACAGGCACAATGTTAACTTATTTTCCATCTCTGGCCCAAAGTATATATATTTTTCAGATGAGGGGTCTGGATTACATAATCTCTGAGGTTCCTTCAAAATCTAGAGAAAATTTCAATTTAAAAAATCTGAAAATGTCAATGTAAAAGGATTTGCTTTTCTCTTATATGAGTGATTTAATTTCCCCACATAGATCTTCTGCCTTTATTCTGAATAACAAACTATAACAAAATGTTCCCAATGATATGATTCTATCAACAACTGGATGATTTCAAAAGTAACACCATCTCCCGCTTTCAATTCTTTGAGCAAAATGCTCACATGTCATTATTTATTTATTTTCATTATTTTTTTAGAGACGAGGTCTTGCTATGTTGTTCAGGCTAGACTTGGACTCCCAGCCTCAAGCAGTCCTACTGCTTCAGCCTTCCAAGTAGCTGGAACCACAGGCACACACCACTATAACCAGTTTATTTTACATTGTTCTTGTAATTCTGGTATCAGTGATTCTTATAACAATATGCTCTCAATTTATTTTAAGCATGTTGAGACCTTAATGATAACTATTCAGAAACCATACTAAACATTTGATCTTGAAATCTTCCATCGTTTTCCATCCTCTGCTTATGCCTCAGTTATTCCATTCGCATGATATGGGCACTTAATTTAGCCAACTCACTGACCCATTTCATCTACTGCTCCCAACTCTATGGCTGGATCTAAGCACAGTTTCTACATCCAATATTAGCCGGTCATTGTTTCACAGGACAGATTTCCACAGCTGACAACTCTACTCCATAACTGGAATGAACACTTCAATCTGCATTTTTATATCAGTATCCTTTCTGATTAAAAACTAGAGTGCCAAATATCTTGACAGATATTTCACAGAAAGATGTTCCATTTTTAAAGTTTGAATTTTTGCAAAAAGTTATATTATTTTAGGCCTATAAACTTGATTATTTGCACCAAGATTCCTTTCCGGTATGTGGTAAAAATAAAAAAAAAGTTTTTCAGACATGTATTGAAAATTAATAAGCAGCACAGACCATTAGTTCTTAATTGGTTTTTATTTTTAATTTTCCAGTGCTTTCTTCTTTCATTAAAATGAAAAAAGTCCTAATATCCTAAGTTTATCTATTACCACAGAAGAAATTATTCAAGGTGAAAAGGACATTTTAAAATACTAATATGCATAAATATGTACTATTTCAAAGCTAAATAAACCAACATATGGCAGGTTTTTTAAAAAAGAAACTAGGGAAAAAAGGAAGAAAGAAAACTAATATTGAACTGGTGGTATTAAAGTGAGAAACAAAGGTTTAAAATCACAAATTAAAAAAAAAATGTCTAACCAGAATTTACAGCATGTCTTACATTTCCCATAGTAGCTGGTCAGTTTTTCTCGCTTCCAGTAAAGATTTTAGAAAACATGTGCTTTAGACTGCAATAATTCATTTACTGTCATCTAAGATTTTAGTATAAATCAAGCATATTGACATATAGTAGTGGAGTCTGGTTTGGGCTGAATTTTAACATGAGCTTTTTAGAAGGTAGAGAAAGAGATGGGCCAGGATCTATAAAGCAGGGATATTAGGCAATTGCCAAACTCTAAGCTAACGTTTACACTTACTGAATGTTTGTCCCCACCAAAACTCAAGTTGAAACTTAATCCCAAATATGGCAGTACTGAAAGGTGGGGCCTTTAAGAGGTGCTTGGGTCTTGAGGGTTCTCCCTTCAGGAATGGATCAATCCATTCATGGGTTAATGTATTAATGGGTTATCACAGAAATGGCATTAGTGGCTTTACATGAGCATGCTCAACCCCCTTGCCATGTGATGCCCTGCACCGCCTCAGGACTCTGCAGAGAGTCCCCACTAACAAGAAGGCCCTCACAAAAGGAGCCCCTCAACCTTGGACTTAGCCTCTATAAGACATAATTTTTTTATTTATAAATCACCCAGATTTAGTTATTCTAAGTAACAAGAAACAGACTAAGACACTTAGCTATATGTTAACAATGTTCAAGTGTAATCACTGTTGCCTTCAATAGCACATGTATTACATAAATCCACTGTGATTCATTTCAGTGTTACTACTGTTAACAACACCTATTAATTCTTCCACTGTGTTCATCATGGCTGCTACTTAAGGTTCCAGTCTTTCTACATATGCAAATATTTTCTAAGGATACATGGCTATATTTTAACTTACATCCAGTATGACTTATTTGATTTACTGCCAACAATTCTGCCCTCAAATTGTACAGGAAAAAAGAAACACATGATGTTTTTGCATAATGAAATCCCTCTGCCTAAGTTTCCATCAACAGTGGAGAATAAGATGATCAGTCCTATGCGTAGCAATTTGTTCTGCATTTAAAAGATGTCTCGTTACCTCACATGCATGATTTGGCTGAAACTGAACTCTCTTTCAAATTTCCTCATTTCCATAGAGTTTGAAGCTGCCATTCTTAGCAATCAAACCCTATCTACATTGCTTCAATCTGGCTTATGGTGACTGAACAGAGAGATTTCTCATAGATGGAATAGTATATGCATATTAGTTGCAGTTCATATACATCCTTCTTGTTCCCATTTACAGCTTAAAAAAACTATATGAGTTTTTAAAAAGATGTTGGGCCAGGCATGGTGGCTCACACCTGTAATCCCAGCATTTTGGGAGGCCGAAATGGGCAGATCACGAGGTCAGGAGATCGAGACCATTCTGGCTAACACGGTGAAACCCTGTCTCTACTAAAAATACAAAAAATTAGCCAGGAGTGGTGGTGGGCGCCTGTAGTCCCAGCTACTCGGGAGGCTGAGGCAGGAGAATGGCGTGAACCCGGGAGGCGGAGCTTGCAGTGAGCCGAGATTGGCGCCACTACACTCCAGCCTGGGTGACAGAGCAAGACTCCATCTCAAAAAAAAAAAAAAAAAAAGATGTTTAGGGCAGTGAAATTATTCTCAATGATACTATATCAATGACACTATAGTGATTGACAAATGTCACCCTAATGTAAACTCTGGAATTTGGATGATACTGCTGTGTTAATATAGGTTTTTCAATTTAACACATGTATAACCCTGGTGCCAGATGTTAATAGTGGGGGAGGCTGTGCATATGGGAAGCGGGTATATAGGAACTCTCTGTATTTTCTGTTTAATTTTGCTGTGAACCTAAGACGCTTCTAAAAAATAAAGTTTATCTAAAAGGAAAAATGCTCTCAAATATTTATAATTTTAATATGCTTGAGACAATGTTATGTTGTGATAACATAAAACAAAAAGATCCAATATAATTAGATGTCATTATCATTCCCCTTGAATAGAAAATAAAAACTTTTGAGGAGATGAGCAGGATATTAAACAAGATGTAAATGATTAAGGTAACTGATGTTTCAAGATAGGGAAAAGACAATTTTAAGTATCAACATTCCTTTTCAAAAGAGTTACTATATCTTTAAAGTAATGTGTCAAAGGGAAATAACTTTGTCTAGTTCACGTCAAATAAAAATTATACCTAACATGTAATCTTAATAGTCTGTTCAATAGATTTTAAAATATGTATACTTGCATTCAGAGTTTTAATGACATTCCCTAGAGAAATTAGAGAGAAAAAAAAAACCCTTTCTTTGGTTCATATATTATCAATTATTCTAAATACATTCTTTGCTTTCAGATCTACATGAAAGCAACTGCCTAAACTTTGCCTTAAAACTGTTGAGGTGTTAAGATGTTGAAAGGATCTTTTAGAAGTAGATTGATGCTTCATTGGGTAATAAAGTTGTTTTTGCTATTAAAAATATATTCTAAAAGAAAGATACAGTAAAATTGAATCCGGCAGGCCACAACAAATGAGCTAAGTTATATCTAACCTTAAATTTATGACTATAACTTCAATGGTGAATTTTGTGCATAAATGATTTAAAACATAGGTAAAGGTCTGTACCTTCGGGACTAACAAGCTTTTATCCAGAGGCTATGTTTATCAAACAGACACACTACTCTGCATCTGAAAGAAGGTGATTTCTTTCTGTTTACTACTATTCTTATGTGAATTCAGAGAAGCATATGACAAGCCATGAACTTACCATGTCCTCTACAGAGTCACGTTTCTGGTCTGTTTTTCAAATTAATCTAAAACATGATTTACAATGATTTCCTCTCTCAAATTTAGACAAGGACCAGCCTGGAAGAGAAACTATCAACATTAGGAAGGTAAAATTTTAGACCTCTGATGGGAAAGAAACCAATGTGATTTTATTCTATTATAACCACAGAGTTTTTAAACTTTGTTTCTCCACCACGACAGTCAATAAAATAAGCTAAGTCCTTAAATGCTTATATTATAGAATTCTCGCTGTCTCTCATTCTCGGGGCAACTTTAATCTCGATGTCTTTTGGTATAGACATGACTAATACTCCACTTAGTCATGTATATTTTTTATTCATTCAATCAATATTTACTGAATATCTATGTGCTAAGCATGGTTCTAGAGATAGTGCAAACAACAGTGAGCAAAACAGGTCAAGTTCCCGCCTTCACGGAACTTCCAATCAAGCAGTTTAAGCAAAAACTAAATAGATGAACAAATGAAAAAAATAATGTCAGAGCCCTGGAAGTGTTATTGAAGAAATTAGACTAGAAGATAATAATGGGAAAGATTCTATTTTCAGAAAGGGGGCCCCTTTGAAGAGGTGACATGAACTATAACTTCTATGGTAAGAAACAGGCAGCCACATGAGAGGCAGAAGGACGAGCATCCCAAGCAAAAGGAAAGGCAAACTGAAAGCCTCTAGTGGAAAGAAGTTTGGGATTTGGCTGCACCACAGTATACAAGGAGCAACAAGGTGGTGAGGACACGGGCTATAAAAGGGATTTGAAATCTTTTCTGGTAAATTATGTAAAGATGAACCATCTTTTAGGAAATGAGTCTGAATGCCTCCATATAATTTTATCATTTTATTATATCCAGGCAGAGCAAACCTCTGCATTAGGAAAGCCACAGTGATTCTAAATCATGTGTAATTTACTTATTCAAAATGCATATAGAAAATAAGGCTCAGGTAAGGGTTTAAATACGACTTTGCTTACCAGAAAAAAAAAATAGTTACAGCATTTTGACTACCTGGAATTCAGAGCTGTATACTGTTTAAAGCTGAAGGGTCTCCAAATTCACTATCATCTGGTTTACCTCATCCAGCAGGTAAAGTCTACTAAGGTTGAACTCACTCATTACTACTGAATTAGTCAAATGACAAAGTGTTCTTTAAATTATGTGATGCATATTTTTGTACCAGTGTAATCTATTTATAAAGCATGGGTGTCATATTTGTTATATATAGAAAACAGCATACAAAAACGATCAATAATTTCCTAGCTTAGGCAGCCCTGTAAGAGAAAATATCTATATGTATAAATATAAAGGCCCTGGGCCACCTGAGATTGAAGGATATGAATCAAGCATCTGAATTCCAGCTTTGCAACCAGCAACCTGTATGTCCAAGCCTGGGCAAGATTCTAACCCTCTCTGAATCTCATCTCTCTCAAAAATACAGGTTAGTATACATTCCTAGCTTGAAGAGACAATGAAGCAAGAATTTCTAAGTGTGTAGCATATAGAATAAACTCAATAAATTTTAGTCTTTTCCCTCATATATTTTTCTAATAAAAGTAGTATCATTTACAATATGAGAACTACAATCATACTTTGTATTTGTCTCTTTTAGTCAAAAATTTACGGTTTTGTTCACATAAGGAAAAAAGGTAAGACAAAGAAACCATTTTTAAAGCTCTTCACACATCAAACACTGAATTAAGACCTTTGTGTTTTTAATTGTTTTGCTGCCTGGAACCATCCTATTCTGTCTGATTTCTCTACAGTTTTCAGTGTGTTTCCTTCATCTCAGACACACAAACATGCCCAAACACAGTAAATCACAGTTAATTGCATGTCTTAAATTAAAAGACAAAAAAAATCACACAATTAATTGGGGGAACTTGTCAGTTGGTGAATGAATCTTGCTCACTACACTCTGTGCACAGGATGCATGCCAACTGCGTGTTCCAAGCTGGACAATTCAGTCCATGCCTCTGAGGAGAGGTGCATGGGCACGATCCTTCTGCACAGCAGTCTGGTCATAAGAACCAAATGCTTTAAAACACTCAACATTGCAATTGCTGTATCAATAGCTATCTCTACAAGGATGTTCAGTACAGGACTGAGCATAATAGTGAAAAATTAGAAAGAGCTAAAATGCTCATTAATAAGAGACTGAATAGAGACTAGGTTTGGCCATTAATGAAAAAAATCTAAGCCGTTACAAATGATTTTGTCAATCTTAATAAAATAAGAAAATGTTCATGACATATTATTTGAAAAATGCTTACAAAATAGTATATTTCTATTTTTGAGGCTATGTGATATGCAAGTGAAGCAAGGAATGAGAGAAAGGAACAGGAGAAAGCTACTGGGAAAACAAACGAGAAAAATGTTATCATTTGTCATCTCTGAGTTGTTTATACTTTGTACATTTTCTAATTTTCTAAAAAAATCATCTAAATTTTAAAAAATTATATTTCAATTTGGTTTTGAATCTGATATTTTAAAATGTCAGTTTTAAAGTAAAGATCCATAAGAATCTTTTAAGATAAACTTACCTACTACAATGAAAACATCAGCATAAAATTTAAAAAGAATCCCTAGTAAGCACAAACATACAATCCTATTGTATCCTTGGTTATACAGACAAAATTTATAAAAATGCTTTTTATAAATATACGACAAATGCATGTTCATACAATTAATGCTCAATAATGTATTTCAACATATACCTTACAGTATATTAACACACCATAAGAAAATCATTATAAATCCTTTTTCATTTCCTGACACTGACCAACTATAAAATATATTCACAGTAAAGCCAATAATCTTGAATTTGAGAAACTGCAAACCTTCTCTCCTCCACCCACTACTCTCCCATTATTTTCTACCCTATTATAAAAAGATTTTATACCCAGCCACCTAGTGTAATTCCAATGTTAAAATCTGGCAATAAATGATACACACAAACTAATGTGCACAGAATTTCATCATTTTTATCAAAGTAGGAAATGACAAAGTTTTATAATCTATATCACTACTCAACTAGTCATACTAACTTTTGTTTTATTTCATTTTTCGAATAAAAGAATTTATAAAACCCAACAAAGTAGATTCATTCCAAAGGTATTCAACAGTCTACTAACCTTGAAATAAATAAACATTTCCTGCCTTCTTTTATTTAATGGGGGGTGGAGAGGAAAAAGATAATCATATTTCAGCAAAAGCCCATCTCAACCTCAGGCATCTTTATGTCCCAAGGGTAATATTTTCATTCCATTCTTAATAGAACAAATTTCTAATCAGAATATGTATTCAAAAATAATTGAGGCAATGCAATGTCAACACGTTATGCTGCCATCAGGCATCCCGTGGTGCTCAGAATCAACTCAACACAATCTCTAATGTGACAGAGAGCCTGGGCAATGCAGAAACGTCAACCTTGATCAAGAGAAGGGGAGCTAGCAAGGAGCATGCAATGGTTGTGCTTCCCTTTGGATGCTCAAACATGGTGTTTGGAGGAAAGCTTCTATGCTGGAAGAAGACAATCTCAAGACTTCTAAGGAAGGAATGACTTATAATGCTCATTCCAGAACCTCAACTTTTAAATAGTAATAAGTGTCTATTTTTGCACTGATATTGAAAATACTTGAAACAACAGTCAATTCTGGGAAGGTTAACACTACATCTAGATTTCTAGTTATTAAAGCCTCAGGGCAATGTACATTATTGTGTATCTCCTGCAACCCTCTGAAAAGGTCCAGACATTCAAATTTAGGTTTCTCCAAGTTTGGCAAAATATTAGTAATTGTTGAAGCTGGTTGATGAGTAATTGAAGTTCATTATATTATTTTTTTCCTTTTGAGTATATTTGACATTTTCATAATAAAAGTTTCAAAAAATAGATTTTCACTCAAGGAGCATATATTTTATGTTCAAAATTTTACTGACTTTTCCTTTGGAAATATATATTACCAAGATCTGATTTATGTTTATTATTAAAGACTCTAACAAGCAGTCTGAATTTTATAAAACTCCACAAAGCATTATATTTTATGCTATCATTAAAAAAAAGAAAAAATCCTTCATTTCAGAAAAAAAAAATTACCAGGATCTATGATGATAGAAGAAGTGCACCTAAACAAATGCAGTGCCACCATCTGCCTGGCATTCTCACAGTATGACAAAATAGACTGGTAATTAACTGCTTTCCTACCGAAATCTGCCAGCTTTAACTCCCCCGTGTCACTGATCAGAAGGTTCTGTGGTTTCAGGTCTCTGTGCAAAATATAACGCTGGTGGATGTAAGACAGACCTCGCAGCAACTGAAATAAAAACAACTGAAAAATAAGGAGACAAAGGTTAAAATCAGAACACAGATAAATGCCAGTTTCTACATACAGTCTGCTAAGTACTTGTATTAATATTTAGGGAAAATGGGTAACCATCACCAAATTTTCTACCAAATTATTTCAACAGAATGTGAGATTTTAGTATGTAAATTCCTAATTCATTTAGAAGTAAATCTAGGAATTTCTAACAACCTATTATATCAACCCGAGAGTGATTCTCCCTCAGCCAGAGAGATCTGTACTCCAATTAGCGTTCTTTAAGCAAAATGTAAATAATCAATTTTTTTATAATTGATTTAGTCTTCAGGACTAAAATGATGTTTGAAAGGAGAGGAAATCTATTCATAATATTATAGAGATTAAAAAAAGAACTGTTTACCAAGGGTTTATATCAATATGCACATATTTAATTCCATAGAAACAACATGAACATGGTACCCATAAATTCATCCATTAACATGCTTTAAGGAATGGAAAGATAAGATGATCTGAAATAATTAAAACAAAAACAGTCATATTGTCTAATTAATACTACATTATAATTATACTGCTTTTGCACATATGGTCATATAGATTAGGCTGCTGCTTAAAGACAGACATGTACCACCTTCACTAATTTCAGAGCAAACCCATCCTAAAGGGAAAGGAAACACAACAGGAAAGTCAAGAACTCGAGAGTAATACTTTTGGAAGAAATAATTTCAGAAGTGATTAATAGCCTTTTCTGTGAAGTTTAATATTGGATCATACCAAATGTTTCTATTTTGATAACAAAAAAGTGTGATTCACTAGGCTTCCCAATATTCTTCTTATGAAAAAGAGAATATTTTTAAACAATTTACTTGCCAAAATAATCCTAATTGATATTTTTTAAAATCAATCTCCTAAAACAAAAACAAATGTTCTTACTTTTAAGTGCCACCAATATTCTAGTCTATATAACCAGTTAGTAACCAAAGGCAGTTTCAGGGCAATTTTAAATGAGTTGTAAAAGACGAATGATAGAAAGATTCTGAAACTTGAATCGAAAAGATTGGCAACTTCCTGAGGGCCCTGGACAGTGGCATCTCTGGAATGTTCTGACTAAGCAGGGGCTTTGAAAGCCAAGTGAATTTCATTACAGGGGATACCTTGAAATAACAGTAAAGTTAATTAATCTCAAAATCTTTGTATGCGAGAATATGTATGGGGCAGTAAAGGCTTGAGATGATTATTTCGAGAGTCTAGGCAGCAGAAAGTAGAAGTCTGATCTGTGTTGGTCAAGATTAAAAGACTAACTCAAGAATCTCGGGATGCAAACATCTCTCTGGATTTGTCCTCTCAACGCTTCTTATACAACAAACAGAAAGACTTGAGTTCACACCATCACTAGCAGCTGCCAGCCTCATTCTTCACTTCCAATACTCCCTGCATCCTGAAGCCTAAAGCTTACAACTTCTAAGAAAATTCATACTCCTTTAGTTTAGAAGGAAAGAGGGAAAAATAAAGCCACTTTGTGTTATCAAAGCCTTTTAAAAAAACGAAATAAAAACACGAAGGCAAACCACATAACAAACTTAATTTTAAAAATAAGTTGATTTTGAAAGGAAACAGTTTGCCATTCTGCAAAATGCTACCTGATCTTTGGGATCTAGCAGAGTCTTATCAGAATGTAAGTGTTTAACCATGGCAATGCATTTTAATTTAATGAATACATAACACTATGTGCCAACTGCTATTCCATGTAGTTTATAGAATATTACTTCATTTGACGTTCAAACAATTTTAATGAAGTAGGTACTACTATTAACCTCCATATTAGTAATGAGGAAACTGAGTGCGGTTTCTCAAGATCACACAGCAATTAAGTGGCAGAGCCAGGCCTCAAACCCAGAGAGTCTGATTCCAAATTCTATGCTCTTAACCATCTCACCATCTCACTCATCATCTTGGCCAGAAATCAACATCAGTAGGCAAAGTATTTCTAGAGAACTGCTTCCTCCAATGAACAGAATAAATATCTGGGCATCTAATAACATGGCCTCCAAGGCCACTGAACTGAGAACTGATTCCAACTGAGGGGCTCAGGCATTATTTTTTGGGGGGTGCAGGCTCAGGCATTGTTACTCTATATTCCCCGGCTCCAAGAAACCTTGCCTACCTCAACACTCAGCATGCTGTTCTCCAACCCTGTACTTTTTGGAGCACAGTGGCACAATCTCAGCTCACTGCAACCTCTGCCTCCCGGGTTCATGCCATTCTCCTGGCTCAGCTTCCCAAGTAGCAGGGACTACAGGCACCCACCACCACGCCCAGCTAATTTTTTGTATTATTTTTAGTAGAGACGGGGTTTCACCATGTTAGCCAGGATGGTCTTGATCTCCTGACCTCATGATCTGCCCGCCTCAGCCTCCCAAAGTGCTGGGATTACAGGCGTGAGCTATTATCCTTGCCTCTACTCGGCCAGAAAAGCCCTCTCTTCCCTTTGCCTACTATTTTCCATGCATTCCTAGGTCTCTCCTCAGGAACTGCTCCTCCCTAGAGCCTTCCCTGACCACCCCTGCAAGCCCTTGTACCCCTTCAGGTCTGTGTAAGGTGCTCCTTCTCCATGCTCCCAGGGCAGCCTCTGCATATGTCTATCACAGTATGATACTTATCTAAGCTGTCTGCTTTAACTATCTTTATATACTCGGGTAATAGGTGGTACTCCTACACCAGTAATGTGAGTACTGACCTGAATTTAGAGACATCTGGATGGCAGCAGATAAAAGCAAATAACAGGCGCCTTGGAATGGAATTCTCGAGAAGCTAAGGGCAGACATAGGTAAATCAAGTAGTTCCAAAGAACTATTACTTAATACCTTTACTAATTAGTGAAAATATATAATCCTCACGCTAACGTAGAAGCTATTCAAATAGGATGCCATATTAAAGGAGATTTAAAAAGCAGTACTAGAGAAAAAAATGCCACTATACACTAAAATTCTAAGTGTATACATGACAAATTAAGCCCCAAACATGACAAATACAGCCCCAAACAAATGTAAGAACAAATCTCCACAGCATAAATTCACTTAGGGTTTATTAAGTGCCAACCATATGTGCTAGGTGCTGTTATGCAAGAGGGATGCCAAGAGGAATAAGATATAAGATGTGGTCCCTAGACTTGAGGAACTCACAGCTAACTCAGTGTGACAGACACACAAACAAATCATTGTGACTTAGAGGTCTGTATTTTAACAGCAACGCAAACTGAGCATACTGAAAGCACAGAAAAGGGTGGATCTAACAACAATTTTAAAAAGTAGAAGAATTGATTTGGCTGTTACAAGAAGAGAAGGGAACGAATCACAAGAAACTTGTCACTCTGAAAACAGAATTCATTACTTGTAAAATTTCAAAAGGAACGAGTTGAGCATTCAGTAGACACAGAAGTTAAAATGTTATGACAAACCCCTTAACATCCTGAAGGAAAACACTAAGAAGACCAAGCAAGCAGGTATAACATAAATTCCGAGAAAGACAATATATGAAGCTGTAAACCTACCAACTCAGCCTCATTAAATTAACTGTGGCAAGGGGACGATCAACCTTCTGAAAACCATTAGAAAACTTTTATGCTGGAGCTCAAAGAAACTGATACCCTCAAAATGGCACTTTGACATGCTGAACTGAAGAAGCTTGAAGGTCTCTTTGACCTTCTGCCCCACTCCCCGTCTCTGCCCCGTCTCTCAACCCTCTGTCTCTCCCAAAGCACAGGATGAAGTTGTTCTCTGAAGTCCCCTTATCTGCCTAAAATCTGGACCTGCCAAAGAAGAAAACAATTACCTCTGGCCCCTTTCCTGAGTTTCCATTAACTGAACTCTTATCCTAGGAAGAAAGACTGAAGTCTGTCAACACACCTGGACAGACTTTTGTCACAAACCACTCTCTGCTCTGCAGGCCCAACAGACGTATATTCTCGTATATTCTTCAATCCCACTGAATTTCCTTAAAAATCATTTACCACACCCCTAAAAGCATTCATACATCCCCATTTCCCTTTCTCCTAATAAGAATATATAAACATCTATTCACATTGGGTTACTGGGTAACTATTCTTCTATGATGACCTTGTGCTATGCACATTAAAATAAGTTTGTGCCTTTTCTCAAATCAATGTGCATTTTGTGAGTTAATTTTTCTATGAACTTTTAGAGGGTGAAGGGGTAGTTTTCCCTTGATCCCTACATTTACAAAAAACATTTTAACATCCTTAACAAAATATACACTGGCAGATAGGGGTGGGAAGGCTCTAAGGAAGCAGCCACCCTACTGAATTCAATGGAATGCCCCATGGACTACCCTTGGAATGTCTTTAAAACTCAAGCTTTAGCGAGTTCTTCTAGACAAATAGGCAAGTCCCTAACTTTCTAATTTAAATTTTTTAGAAAATCACTTCTCTTGGTTGTTGTATAAAACACACAGCAAGCTATACTTGATCTTCTATGAAAAACCAGAAGACCCTGTGAGAACAAGAAGGGCCACCAGGGAGGGGTCCACACACATTCTTTTTCTAAAGCATAAGAATCAGCTTTGCTAATAAAACCTGGTAAACACCATTGGAATCTCAGGCACTAAAAAGAAAAGAAGGGAGACTAATACTTACTGAAAGTTTATTCTAATTTAAAGAATAATTTTATATAAATAGCTTAATCAGGCCCGGGGCAGTGGCTCACAACTGTAATCCCAACACTTTGGGAGGCAGAGGTAGATGGATCACTTGACTTCAAGAGTTCAAGACCAGCCTAGACAACATGGCAAAACTATGTCTCTACCAAAAAAAATAGAAAAACTTAGCCAGGCATGGTGGCATGTGCCTGCAGTCCTAGCTACTTGGGAGGCTGAGGTGGGAAGATCGCTTGAGCCCGAGAGGTGGAGATTGCAGTGAACTGAGATCACACCACTGCATTCCAGCCTGAGCGACCAAGTGAGACTCTGCCTCAAAAACAAACAAATGAATAAACAAAACAAAAAACCCCCAACAAATTACTTAATCCTTTCCAGCTACCATCCTGTATTTTTCCTTTTGTTTAAACAAATGAGAAAACTAAAGCTCTAAAGATGTAAGAAACATAGTCATCCAACCATCACACAGCTCTTGTGAATTTTCCACCACACCTCATTATCTTAAATGAGGTTGATGCTGAATAAATGCATGGATGAGTAGTTATACACCCAATACAATCAAAGTGCTTTTATTAAGTGAATCAAAGTTTGTAAAAGCCTCAATTAGCATATAGTATAATAAGCACATGATTCTTGAATTTCTGTCTTTGCCATTCAAAATCTTAGAAATAGATAACATGAGAGAAGACAAATTCACGTGCTGAACTAGATAAATTAATATATTTGAAACTCTTTATCTTTCTACTATAGTAGCCATAAGATCTTCCTAAGAATATTTTGCCATCTCAGGATATTCTATTCCATCTTTATAAAAGGAGATTCATCCCAAATCCATCAGTCGGATCACTGAAGATTTATATTCCAGTTTGAATATGTTCATTTTCTGTAATAAAAATCCAATGAGAAATTGTCTTAAATAGTAATGAAACGATGAACAGGGACATTTTTGCCAGCAGCAGAGCTATCTTTAGCCAGTTGTCTTGGCATCCCCAGCAGGAAGCAGCATATTCTCAGTGCCATGGCATATACTTCTTGGGAGTATCCCTTAACACTTCCTCTATTCCCTTCTGAAACTCTTCACAATTTAAGTGGGTAAAATTAATTAATTAATTAATTAATGGTATTTTATCACAACTTTTAAAGTAAGTTGATATAAAGCACACACTATTGGATTCAATGTTATGTTTATTGCTCAGAACTACTGACACTTGCAGTAAGAAAGAAGCATTATAACCAGTCCCTCTCACCGAAGTCTAAATAGGTGAGGTCAGATGCTCTTTTTCTCAGTGTCTAGAGGTGTCCTGCTCCATGAATGGTCAGAAATACACAGATTATTTAATATATGCGGTTCAATTTAATCTGAGATGAAGCGTGGTGAATATCTTGTAGATTTTTCAGGGCGTGTGTCAACTTCTTTTAAGGAATGTGCGGGGTCTCTCAGGGCTTTCAGAAGATTAAGAAATCTACTAATAGGAGTCATTAGCAATGGGTCCTACCATTTAGAACACAGCAGTAATGTCTTAGAAAGATAATTATGCTACTCTTTTGTCATGGTTGATACTCTATAACTCAGGTTTCTCATCTTAAACATGGTTGGTTGAGTGGTTGGTTAAGTCTTAGATATCTTTGTTAACCATTTCACATTGTTAAATTACATCATTCCATTATTTTATGAATAACAGAAATGGAAGAGATTTTATAAATTAAACAACTGGAGTTGAATCACTACCATTTATTGAGTGCTTACTACGATAGACATTTTGCTAAGTGTATTATACACATTCAATAATTTAACCCTCACAACACCTCTGCCAGGTAGATGTTACTATCCCTATTTCACAGAAAAAGAAAGAAAGCCTCAGACAAGTGAATTTTCTCAGCAAAGTATCATAGCAAGAAAAAAACAAATACCACATCTTCTCACTTATACTTGGGAGATAAATGATGAGAACACATGGGCACAGAGAGGGGAAAAACACACACTGTGGCCTACCAGAGGGTGGAGGGTGGGGGAAGGGAGAGGATCAGGAAAAATAACCAATGGATACAAGGCTTAATACCTGAGTGATGAAATAATCGGTACAACCAACCCCCATGACATGCCTTTACCTATGCAACAAACCTGCACATCCTGCACATGTACCCCTGAACTTAAAAGTTTTTTAAAAAAAGAGGAATTAAGTGAATTGGCCAAAGGAACACATAGTAAGTAAGAGAGAGTGCTGATATTTGAACCCATTTTTTGTCTTACTCTGACACTACAATTAAGAGGGCTGCTATCCAAAAAGGCAAGCATACTATTTAATTAAAATAGCTATATACTATGTGAACCTAAAGCTACAAAATATGACACTGGTAGATAAATGAAAGTTATACATGAATAATAAATACTTCAAATAGTATGTTCCATATTTAACGCCGTATCATTTAAAAACCCATAGACTGCACAACCTTAAACTACCCACATATCCAACTTCCTAGAAGTTAAAAATAATTAGTTAAAATCCCAATTATATGCAGTCAATGTCAAAATATTTTGTAATATGCATCAGATAATGGTTTAACTGCAATACTAGGTCTTCAATTTTTAAAAGCCACAAAATGATTCATCATGATTCATTCCATTTAGTTGAGTTTCAAAACAGCTAATGCAAATATTAAATCTTAATTTTTAATGCAATGTACACCCAAATCGTTTTATTTTACAAAGCATCATTGCAATTCAAAGTACTGAATTTTTAAAGAATACTTAGACGGTTATACAGAGATATAAAAAAAGAGAAATAAAACCCTAGCTATTCAACATTACAGTATAATTTATGTGTCACTTTGGACATACTTGACAGTGTTAAGTGTGCTACTGGGATGGTATAAGACACAAGCATTCATGCTAAGGCATCAGTCCTTCCACGTGTATTTTTTTGCAATATATATTTTAAAGATCCAGTTCTTGGAAAATTTGAGTAGCTGGAGGAGTTTGTCTTGCCACTGTTTTGCCCTGTTTGAGTTCTTCCATTCTTCTTTCTGCTTTTTTAGTTACAATCCCTAAGACTCTGACATAAGTAACATGCTTTGTCATTTCTAGATAATGTAACAATTTAATTTACATTCTTTAAGATCTTTGAACATTAATATGCTTTTCCTAAAGATGAGAACTTTCTGGAGAGAAATAACTCAAAAAATGAGAATTTCAGGTTCATGGGCAAGCTGCTGGGGAAATAACTGCTTAGCTTACCAAGTAAGTTGGCCTTCCATTCCACACTCTCTTTCTACTTCAAGGCAATGGTGGATACCAAGCAAGGTGGTGTTTCCGGTATGGAGGTGCCCACAATGAGCAGGCAGTTTAAAGCCATGGGATCTAGAGCTAGGAGACTTATAATAAGTCAAGTGAGGCTAGTGTGACTGATCTTTGTTTTGTCAAGTTCTGTAAAAGAAGATCTAGTACAGTAAGTAGGTTTCCAAGTTATTGGGCTTTGTATATACCGTGAAGCATGTTGCGGGGGTGGGGGGTGGGGCTGGGTCTTCCTAATAAAGGTGGGCATCTGCCTAAAATTAGTATTAGAAATATTCCCTAGGTGAGCAGAAACTGTTAAAGACAAGCTGTTGGATTTAATAGCTATCTAACATAATTTTCCAAGAGAAAAACTGAAAGAACTGTTCTAAGAAATTCAAATAACATAATCTTACTCTGTCATTGTCAAGTTTCTGTCTGCCAGAATTATAGGGCTGACCTGACTGATAAGTGCTTTTCTGAACTATACAGAAATAGCACAAAATCCAAATTGGGAAATGGAGAGTCAGTAGGTCTTCCTACTCAATTTCATTTGGGAACTTATGCTACTCTCTCCCAACTACAGGGCCATTCTTTTTTATACAAAATGAAAACGAATCAATATTCAGAGTTTAAATGGTTTTTCTGACTAAAGTAACATTTTAGATACTCAATCAAAATGAATTATCTTAATATCAACTGAGAAGGCTAGTATAACTAAAAAGAGAGAGATGTGGATAGAAAAATTGACAAAGGTGATAGATCTTGAGTTTAAAAGCCTTGGAGTAAATCACAAAAACAAGTTATACCAAAGAAAAACTAATTTCAAATAGGATGTAACATTTAACAACTTGTGAATTTAGATACGTATGATCAACAAACCTCTTTCTCCATCCTCTCAGAGGGGTCTGAAGTAACAGAAATTTATACAGGAACGAGAAAATACCTAGAGCTGTACTGGCTGGACACAGGAATGCTGTGCCTATCCAAGACAATATGTGTATACTCTACTACTTGAACTTATTTCCCTCTGGGGTCTCATGTCTGTCTTGGAAAACATGGAAACAAAGGGGTCGTGTGCAGATCCATCTTAAACTGGAGAGAGGCAAGGTGACGAGTGTAAAGCCCAGGAGGGTGTTTCCCCTATTCTTAATGGGAACTCCCAAGTTGGGTAACTTACAATTAAAGCATCATGTAACACTTCCAATCATTGTCTGCATTTCATCATTCTTTGGGGTGATTCCTTTTCAATCTGGGTTTTAACGGATCTCTAGGAAAGAGTGTACTGTTTAATTAGCTGGCCTTAATTCTTTTGCTGGATCCAAATTGTTACGAACAAATCAGCGGATGATCCTGAGGATGCAAAAGACATGTTCTAAACAACTAAATGCAGACCCCATATCTTAACCAGAAAATTCACTACTCAGATCCCCTCTGAATGTCTAACACAATAAGAGCTGACACGTGGAACTTCATTTTCTTTTATCATTAGTCTTCCACTTTCTAGATGTGGAAGATTATTTTATTATAATAAAAATAGGATGAAAACATTCAAAAAAAGCCTGGACAGACACTGAGACTTGGTGTCAAATTTTTAAAATATTCTTTAATGGCCTCATGAAATAATCATATTTCTTAATTAAAATACAGAATGAGGAAAGGCTCTATAATATTCACAGTCATGTGTAGTAGGAAATTATTAGGAGCTAAATGAGAAGCTCTAATGAAGAATATGGAGAAAGTCAGGTGTCACTTGGTTTTCTATCTGAACATTAGAAAGTCTCATTTAGAAATCAATTCTCAGTGCCATCTGTATAATACAATCTTAATTTGGCATAGCATAATTCTGTCTGTTATACACCTGCTTGTTCTCTGGTCTATTAAAGAAAAATAGCAAGTTTTCAGCCATAATAAACCTCCTATCCTTTTAATTAATATATCTATTGAAATGAAAAATAAGAATCAGCTTTATGCCAATAGGATTGCGGATACTTCAGAGAATAAGGCAGGAAGTTCAAAATTACTTTGGTCATTTTCAATTGTTCACAAAAAAAGGGCAAATGTGTTTTTGCAGGGAACCTTCTAGAAAAGTCATTATGATAACAGAAATGGAAGTACATTACATAAAAACACAGGAAGATTCAATCTCATCATGGTAATAAGATTCAAACATCTACATTTCTGGACATCAGCTGGAGACAGCATCAATTAATCTTTTTTTCATGAATCTTAATTTTCAGTCTCTCATGCTTATCAATTTTTAAAGAACACATGAAAAACTGAATAAAGGATGAAATTTAGACCATTATAGTCATTTGTGAAAGTGCAATGGTCAATCTGTAGACCACTGAGAATTATAAAATCAAGAATTAATACAAGTTCTATATTCAACTATGATAGCTCAAACCCAATATAATTCACAGTGAATGGTCTTTAAAGGGAGTGGGGAATTCAACTACCTTTCCAAAAATATTCTAACCAGTTTCCCACATACCTATTATCACCATCTACAAACTGGTTGCAATGCCTTTAATCATCATAAATATTTATAACAGGGCCAATGTCCTCAGGCTTTTGATTCAGGTTTTAAATCATCCTCTAATTAATTGCTAAAATTACTTTGTCAAAAATTGATATTATGCTAGAAATAAACCATTTGTTATTAGTGAATATTTATTTCAGAATGCCATACTGATAATAGACACATTTTGTAAGCAATTAAAGTAGCAAAGTGAGTAGAAATTTAGTTAACACTGGCTTTTTAAAATGAGTCTATTCCAGGGCTTACAAGAAATACGCATCAAGAAAAATACAACTTTCATAGATGTTTTGCTGAGAATTAGTACAAAATTATATTGTTTTACTATGAAATCAGGAGCTATGTGTAGTTCCATTTGTTCTTTTTTTCTCCCCTTCATTCTTCCAGGATACATTACCATTGTAATGCCTGAAATTCTACCCAAGTCTCACTAAGGAACAATCTCCACAATTCTTAAGTGCAGGATATCCACATTTTTACAATACACAATTATATACAAAATATCAACAAAGAAAAATATGTACAGTTTTAGAATCCTAGATAAATGTTTAAAATGTTTATATATACTGTCATGCTGCAGAATGATGAAACTAAAAGTCAAAATTGCTAAATTTAGAAGCAAAATGATTTGATCACTGCTTTTTCCTATTGTTCACCATAATAAAAATTAAGTATTCATCACATTCTGAACATTTAATAATCTGTGAAGTGTTTAGCAAACATAGAGCTTCTGTGTTACTAAAAGGACATGCTCTTTTTAAAGACAATAGCTTATCTCACCTGGTTTTCCTATCTCCATAAATTTATAAAGAACTATTACAATGTCTTATTTTAGCTCAGTTGAGGTTTTTTGTCTATATTTTCCCAACAATCTAAGATGATGTGAAGATCAACTTTAAAAACAATTAATATCTAGCACAGCATTATGAACAGCTGTTAACTTAGTAAATATTATTTTTATGTTCTTCATTTTTATATTCATAGATTTAAGTGACAATAAACATCACCACATGAAAAAATGTTTATATATCAAACAGAAATACCCATGACATATCTGTCACTATGTCATAGTCCGAATTTTTTGAGAATAATTTCACCTGCAGTTCATATCCTAAAGCAACTCTGGAGGAGACCCTTGTCTCTCAGCAAACAGTGAGGAAAACCCAATGCATAATTAGATGAGTGGCCTCCCATAGAAACCAACATAGTAATAAGGGTTGTCTGCTTCCATGCACTGCAATTCAGATGCCAAAACACAAGGCTTTACCAAGCTACATCTATTTTTTAACTTTCCATACCCTTGGAGGAAGTACCACTATTATCTTCAATATGAAAATGATGATGAACCTATGTGACTTAGTGTTTCGAAAGTCACAAATAATCAAGCTAATTACAGTAATTTAATGTATTAATCATGTAGCTCAGGGAAAAGAACATTGCACAAAGAGTCAAAAAGCCCTTTAACACACTCCATCATCTCAGTGAACCTGATGCTTACTTTCTATGAAATGTTGGGGGCTGGAATGAACCATTGATCCAGGACGCTGGTCCTGGAATGAGCTTGGCTACAGCATTATCACATAAAGAGGTATTTTTTGTTTTGTTTTGTTTTAAATTACATCAACATTCAATGTTTAAATTATTATGACCATGTAAATATTATTTACAGCTGAGCTATAAAGTTTACTATGAATACCTTTCTTTCCCCTGCACAAAAATTTGTTTTTCCTGGTGTTAGTAATAATCTAGTTCTTTTGTTTGTCAGTTTGTTTTCCTTTGTTTGGTTTTCTTTGTGGCCACTACTAATTCAACACCAAATTCTTTTCCCATCTTTTAAGTCCACTTAAACACATTTGGTATTCTAACTAACAATTTTATCTCCTTTACTAAATCTCTCCTGGAGACTTCTAGCCTGCTGGCTTAGCAAGTTACTTTCCCAGCCTGATGCACAATTGTCATCCCTGGATTCTCTTCTTTATCCTGGGAATTTCCTTCACCTCTCTCCAGTAGTGGATTTTGTTACCTGGTTTCTTTGTCTTCTCTTCCTTGGTATATTCCTTGAGTATTAGTGGAGTATATCCTCAAGTATCTTCCTGAGAAAGAATGTAACACAGGCAAAATTTTCAACTCCTTGTGCATCTGAAAATGGTAATTTTACCTTCATACTTCACTGACAGTTTGCACAGAATTCTAGGCTGAAAATACTTCTGTGTCCAAATTTTCAAGCTATTGTCTCACTGCCATTCCCCTTTCAGTGTTACTGTTGAAAATCTGACGCCATTGTAATTCTTGATCCCGTGGAGTAAACCTGTTTCCTTTTTTATCGATTTTTCTTTGAACCCAGTGTTCTGAAATTTTGCAATAATGAACATTATTTTCAGTTTATTTTTTAAATGATCTAGGCATTAATCTAAAAACTCAATCCTATACATTTGAAAGAATTATGGTTTCATAGTTATTACTTTAATGATTCCCTCCTTTTTTCCTCAGTTATTCAGATGTGGGATCCCCTAGATTAGACCTCTGATTTTTTGATACTTTCTTTCCCATTTTTCATCTTTGTATTTTTTGGTTTATTTTCTGGCAAATTTCTTCAATTTTGTCTCCCATGATTTTATTGTTGTTTTTAATTTGTTATATTTTTAATTTCCAAGAGCTCCTTTGTGTTGTCTAAATTCTGCTTCTCAAAAATAATACCACATTTTTGTTTTATGGATGAATTATCTTCTTTTCTCTCTCTGAGACTATTAATGATAATTTTTTAAAGTTTCCTTCTCTACCTTTCCCTATCCAATCAGTGCAAGCAACTTGGCTTCCTCCAAGTTACTCATTTGTTAACTGGGGTCTTCACTGGAGAGTTTCTTGGATTCTTCAGGTCTGTCGTCTTGGAATGATCAGATCCTTCACAGAATACTCTTAAAATCTTTTCCTTGAGGCACGACTTTTGCTGTCTAAAGCTCTCCATGCCAAGTCCTGTCTCTCAAGCTCTCCCCTGCCTCTCCCTGACCTACACAACCCCCACCTTATTCTGGGTCACCACCCACTCCCCTGCTGGCAGACTGAGGAGCAATGGAAGCCAGCAGGCTGCAGGGCTGTGGAAAAACAAGAGGCTAGGATTGCTGGCAAGTACACATGTCCCCAGGGCTGGGGAGTAAAGCAATGCAGGGACATAGGGAGAGTCAGGAAATGCTGTAGATCATGGGAGAAATCTTGGCCTCTCCTCCTTGCGTCTGAGCAAATGCCCACATTTCCTGCGTAAAGATACTTTTTAAAGTATATTTTTATTAATACATACTATTTGTACATATTTTGGGGAGCCCAGCGTATTTTTATACAATCATACAATGTATAATGATGGGTATTTAGGATATCCCTGACCTCAAATATTTATAATTTCTTTGTCTTGGGAACATTCCAAATCTTTTCTTTTAGTTATTTTGAAATATGCAATGTATTGTTGTTAACTATTGTTAGACTACTGTGCTGTCAACACTAGAACATATTCCTTCTATCAAACAGTATGTCTGTACTCGTTAATCAACCTCTCTTCATCCCCCACTCCAAAATCCTTCCCAGCCTCTGGTAACTATCATTCTACTTTCTACCTTCATGAGATCAACTTTTTTAGCTCCCATATATGAATATAAATACACCCTATTTGTCTTTCTGTGAGGGGCTTATTTCACTTAACATAATAACCTTCAGTTCCATCCATACTACTGCAGATGACAGGATTTCATTCATTTTTATGGCTGAATAATCTTCCATTGTATGTATGTACTGCATTTTCTTTATCTATCAATTTGTTGATGGACACTTAGATTGATTCCATATCTTTGCTATTGTGAATAGTGCTTCAATGAACATGGTGGTGCAGAAATTTCCTTTCTTTTGGATAAACACCCATTAGTAGGACTGTTGGATCATATGATAGTTCAATTTATAGTTTTTTAAGAAACCTCCATAGGTTCTCCATAATAACTGCACTAATTTATATTCCCACAGTGTATGACTTCCCTTTTCTCCACATCTTCAGTAACATTTGTTATGTTTTGTCTTTTTGATCATAGCCATCCTAACTGGGGTAAGATGGAATTTCACTGTGGTTTTGATTTTTACTTCTCTGATAATTAGTCATGTTGAGCATGTTTTACTACCTATGCACCATTTGTATGTCTTCTTCCAAGACAGGTTTTTTCAGGTCCTTTGTCTACTTTTTAACGAGTTTGTTTCTTTTGCTGTTAAGTTGTTTGAATTCCTTTTATAATCTAAATATTAGTCCCTCGTCAGATGAAGAGTTTGCAAATATTTTCTTCCATTCAACAGCTTGTATCTTTGCTCCTGTTTCCTTTGCTTTGCAGAAGCCTATTAGTTTAATATAGTCCCATTTATCTATTATTTTTATTTTTGTTGCCTGTTTTAGTCATAGAATCTTTTCCTAGACCGAAGCCCTGAAGTGTTTCTCCCATGTTTTCTTGCATGAGTTCAATAGTTTTGGGCCTTATGTTCAAGCTTTTAATCCATCTGAAGTTGATTTTTATATACGGTGAAAAATAAGTCTTGTTTCATTCTTCTGCACATGGATTTCCAGTTTTTCCAGCACCAGTTATTGAAGAGAATGTTATTTCCCCAAAGTATGTCCTTGACACCTCTGTCAAATATCAGTTGACTATAGGTATGCAGATTAATTTGGGGGTTCTCTATTCTGAGCATTTTTCTGTTCAGACACATAGGTGTCTCTTTTTAATACCCATAACATGTTGTTTTCGTTACTATAGCTTTGTAGTGTACTTTGAAGTCACGTAGTATGAAGTATCCAGCTTTGTTCTTTTTGCTCAGTATTGTTTTGGCTATTTGGGTTCTTTTGTGGTTCCATATAAATTTTAGGATTGTTTATCTACTGCATGAAGAATGTTATTGGTATTTTGAGGAATTGTATTGAATCTGTAGATTGCTTTTGGTAGAATGGTATTTTAATAATACTAATTTGTCTAATCCATGATCATAGGATGTTTTTCCATTTGTATCTCTTCAATTTCTTTGATCACTGTTTTGCAGTTTTCTTATACAGATCTTTCATCTTCCTTGGTTAAACTGATTCCTACATAATTTTTGGTAACTATTATAAATTAAATTGTTTTATTTCTTTTTCAGCCAGCTCATTATTGGGGAAGAAATACTACAAATTTTTATATGTTGATTTTGTATCCTGCAACTTTACGGAATTAGTTTATCAGCTCTGTAACTTTTTTTGGTGGAGTCTTTAGATTTTTCTATACATAAGATTACTTGGTCTGCAAGGAGAGATGATCAGAGGACTTCTTTTCCAATTTGGATTTTTTCCATTTTTTTCTCTTGGCTGATTACTCTGGCTAAAATTCTCAGTATTATACTATGCAGATGTCCTGATTCTGGGGAGAATATATATGTGTGTGTGTGTGTATATATATATATATACATATAAAGCTTGCCAGGTGACTCTACTGCAGAATAAAGTGAAGACCTCTTAGTTTATTACTGAGGTTTCTTGTATCCACAAATATGCCAAGCACTGAGACTGTCCAGGACATTTCAGAAGATCCTCAACAAATCAAAGATTTCACTAGTTGTGAGGAAAGGAATCCCCATAGATGAATACATTTTGCTGCTTTTAAGGTATTTTAAAAAATAAGAAGAGGTAAATCACATCACATTTTTTTTAGAAACAAAAATGTAGTAAGTCATCTATCGGTGACCATGTTAAACAACTTCCAAGTAGGAAAAGTTCCTGCTGTATATAAATACCCAGGCTCACTGTAAGTGTCACATATAATTTCTGTGACATTATTTCTACACTGACTACACATTTCACTCATCATTAAGTTTCTCACCACGTCCTAGGAGGCACCAAGTCCTGCAGTGTTAAACCTTGTTTATCACCATGGTGCAACCTGGACTCGGAATGAGGAGCAAACAGTAAGTATTTGAAGTATGATGAATGACCATGTGATGAAAGAAAAGCACACAAAGCTTGAATAAGAGCTGGTGAGACAGTTTCTAGAGGTACAGCCCAGTTACTGAGAAACAGTAACCTTGAGACCCATTTCTCCATGACCATTAGGAGATAAGGGAAAATAAAATGTAATGGAAGAAGCAGAACGTATAGTAAAAATGGGACAAAATTCATCAATGTCAGTGGCCTGAGGACAGAGAACACAGCAATGCTTTGTGGAAAGAGGTTTTCTTTTTTTCATCAACAAAATTTTCCACCAACAGTTGCTGATAACTAATGACACATACATGATTGGTGAGAAACTAAACAGGGATAATAAAAGCCCAGTGATGTCATGACTGTGGGAAAGATTCAATCAGTTATTTAATCTCAATTGTATCACTGAATGTGAAAGTCAGGAAGTCAAAGTTAGCTCAGAGGATCTGCTCATTTCCACTGTGGCTGGTAGACTTCTGAGCTCCCCGGGGCCAGTGGTCTCACTAGCTGGGTGATCAACACATTCTCAGGGATAGAGTGGGAAACAAGAATGAAGATGTATTGTACTATTGATTTCAAAGCCAATAAACCCTGAGAACATGTGGATGTATAAATGAGAGAATTTGAGATTTTAATGTTAAAAAAATTATGTTCATGTTATAATACTAATATTTAGAGTTGGAATTGAACATAGACAAGATTAATAAAACACGTATTTTCATCCATTAAATTTTCTAACCTAATCTAACTACTAATAAACTATATGTTAATGGTTACACATTTTTAAGAAAAATGAACAGTCAAAAAACTTTAAGGAAAGGCAATCTAATAAAACACAAAAAGAAGACATATGAAAAAATCAACAGACTATAATTTCTATATTGATTCCATTATTTATTTAACAATGTTTTGACAGATTTCCTATAAGTTCCTACATTTTAAAATTATACAGTGTAACTGACCACTACAAAAGCCTCTATTAACTTGTCACATTTACACATATACATAGAAAGTTTCCCAGGTGATTCGACTATGGTATAAAGTGAAGACCTCTTAGTTTATCACTAATAGGGTTTCTTATAACAAATGGGAAGAAATTGAGATGAATAAGTTTACTTCAAATACATCTGTAATACTCAATTGGTTCTCAGGATTATGAAATGTAGTCATTTGAGTTACACAATGTAAGTACATAATTAAGCCATATCAGATATAACTTTGATCTCTTCTAATTCTATTGCATATACCAAGAAGCTTGAAATTTTGGAATAATTTCCCAAGATGATTGTGAGGTCAAATTTTAGGAAATCATAGTTCTTTTGATACTCGGTAGTAATATTTCTACTAAAAGAAAGGAAAAAGAGTAGCAGAAAGTAGAATATGCTTGTACATAGAAATAAAAAGACATGCACTGTGAACCCACCATAACATTGTTTTGGATCATAATGATGCTTTATGTTGAAACCAACTGGTACATCAGTATGGGTTCCAAGCTAGAACTGAGACTCCCCTCTACTGTGAAGTGTTAAAAAGTAGGATTCCAGTGGTTTTCACTCATTATTAGCAAATGTTTCTCCAGCAAGAAAATATAAGATGAGATCTAAATATTAATACCCCAGTAAAAATATTTAATGTTAAAACATGGTTTCCAACAACTCAACTGAAGCAATGACTGGTTCACCTCAATATCCCTTCTCTTTACACAAAAAATTTAAAAAATTTAAATATGTTATGGTAGAGATGCTAGACTTCAGTTCAAAAAATACACATCAAGAATGCTAACCTTTGGCTTAAAAAGATCTTTTCCTACCTTCACATTATCTGGATGCAGCCCCCCAGGGTGCTTGTCCATGTACTGACATAAATCAGTGTGCTAGAAAAGAAAAGGAAAAATGTATTAATAACCCTCTGGCTATAACATAATAAATCAATATTTTCCTACTTCAAACTCACCATTACCTTCTGAACAGAGCAAATAAAAGACAAGTGGGTGGATTTTTCAGTGTATGTAGTGGCATGCCTCCCCACCCCCTAATTTTAAACACAATTGAATCATTATTTTTCCCTCTCGGCTCTGTTTTATGTTAAATATTTCTATATATTAAAAAGAATACATGTCCATAATTTGTTAAGTGTCTCATTTCCTTTCCATTGAATATATCCTTATACTTTAACTTAGAAAACCACACATATTTAACCAATGCAATTATAATGTCAATTATCCCATATTTTCCAAGTGCAAATGCAAATAAAAAATATTTATTTTATATGAGATAAAAATACCACAAATATATTCTACTAGTAAAATTAATCACTGGACTTATCTTTATGTCCATATTCAGAAAAAATAATTTTCAGGTTTCTAGAACTCCTGAATATATTTGAGCAAATATGCTTCATAAATTAACAGAAACATCTTCAAAATTAAAAATTAAGATAAATATATCCAGATATGTTTAAACGAATATTCAACATCTCATGCTGTTATTCTTTTAAATATGCAAGCTCGATTTGTCCACAAGTAAATATCTTCTTCTTAATGCTTTTTCTGCTTATATCATAAACTATATATAATTTTTTAAAAGCATGTAGTTACTATTCACATTTTTATTATTTTATTGGAGTGTACTATAAGATTTATAAAACTGAAACATTTAATCATTCAGTAAAAGCCAATGAACATGAGCATTTGTGCCCCAATATCAGGCCTGAATTACTGAGGAAGTACAAGTTTTATAATACATTCAAGAACCTTGCTGTAGTCATTTATAACAACAGTTCAGGTTCTGTTATTAAGCTTTCATTGCATGCTAGGTTATAATTGCTGAGGATACAATGCAGAAATTAGCCTTCATCATTCATCATGTAATTTTTGAGCCCATATGTTCCAGGCACAACACTAGTCACTAAGAACACAGGAGTAAATGAAACAGATGCAAATGGAAAAAAACCAGACATGCCACTGATTACAGTAAAGTCTGCTGTGTAGTATTTTAAGAATAGTGCTGGATGATGTTCAAGGGCACAGCAGGGGAAACCCAATGAGGTCTAGAGATTTCAGAAAGGTCTCTGGAAGAAGTTACTTCTAAGTAAGACATGAGTAGAGAATGAAAGAAGTTAGCCAACTGAAGGGCAAAGGCAAAGAAAATGGGTCAGAGAAAATGCTCTTAGATATGTTCTGAGACAAAATTGCCTTTATCTTGGGCAACCCAAGCTTTGATTTAGCTTCTAAATCAAAGTGAAACTCCATGAGGGTAGAAACTATGATTAATTTGGAAATTATTCTCTCTCTGGTCCAGGCAAAATGTCAGACAAAGAGAAAAAGGAACTAAGTACAGATGGGAATACTTTTATGTATAGGATAGCACACTAAAAACAAACCTAAAATATGATTAAAATAGGTTCAATGGAGTTTTTCCTGAGTAACTATATAAAAGTTTTATTTCATGCATTTAGTGAAATGAGGAATGACTCTGGACCCCAAACTGCCATTTTGTAACTTCATATTATTAACTTCCCCATCCTTAAATAAGGATAACACCATCCTCAGAGAACGACAAATAAAGAACGAGAGAACATTTGTTTTTGAAGCCAGTATATGATAAGTACTTTTTACTTATAATATAATAGATAAAAATAAGGTATTCTTTTAAAATAATGCTCATTATACTATAAGATCCAGGAGGGCAAGAAGTGTATCTAATCTGTTCAATGCTTCACACACAAGAAACAAAATGGTAAAAGAAAAGTACATCCAACCATATCAATAATCACATGTCCATGATGTGTTGAAACGCTTATTAAAAATGTAAAATCTCAGTTTTTAAAACAAAATCAAATTCATACTGCTTCCCAAACACAAACTAAGAACAATAAATACCAAAAATCCAGAAAGTCTGAAAATAAATGTTTATTTATACTTTTGATATTTTGTTATTTATATTGCAAATATCAATAAAAAGGAATCAGATATATCAATGTAAAATCACGTTTAACATAATTCAAGAAACATGTATTCAACATTTGCACACCTAACAATAGGATACATTATTAAAAGCAAAAATTGACAAACATCAAAGAAGAAACGGAAAATTTCACAAAATCTTGAAGGGTTTTGCTTACTCCTTTCAAAAATTAACAAATGGAATTGGCCAAAAAAGTAAAGCTATAAAGGATATAACACAATTAAATAGCATGCCCAATAAACTCATGCTACACATGCTTTTTAAACACAAATGGCCTACTCACAAAAACTGACAATGTATGAGACAAAGAGAAAATCTCAAAAATTTCCAGAAAGCTGAAATCATATTACATCCTTTCCTCAAAACTGAATAAAATTAACATCAGAGTATATTATATTTCATCAACTCTAAGACATACAATTCTTTTCATTTTTGATATTGGAACAACAGCATTCATTTATGATTACCCAGGCAATGAATGCAATATAGTTGTTATTGCCTGTGTCTCAGCAAACTTTTTATTTTGCTCAATTTGCAGAGTTTACTCAATGGCATGAGTCACCAACAAACAACTTAAGGACCATCTGAAGAAGAAACAGTGAAGGGTGAGCCCTAATTGTTACCTAGAAACCATTTATTGAAATTTTCAGGTAAGGTTTTTTTTTAATGCCAGAATTAAAACTTCTCTAGCTCTTTCAATAAGCATAAAATAAAAATTCGGAATAAGAAGGCATTCAATCATAGTTTAATTCAGTGCATTTTTTCTTTTTTAGTAGTATATCAATAAGGTTTCTTCCAATCAATGGTGTTTTAAGTTCAATGGCAGCAGGAGGAAAATAAGGAAGAAAGAAAATCAGTTGAAGAGAGAGAATGAGAAAGGGAGGAATGAATAGAAAAATCTATTTTCCTAAAAATGTACAAAAAGTTAAAAAAGTCTAAAAATACTTAAATCAGTAAAAAATGAATGATAATAAATATACTACATTTCAAAGCAATTAAATTTGGTCAGAGCATCAACAAGAAAATTTAGACCTTTAAATGTATTTATTTTAACATAAAAATGACTAAAAATGAATAAAACAACCAATAAAGTAAAGCTAGAGAAAACAAAAGAGACAAGAAAAAAAAGAGAGAGAAGGGATCAATGCAGTTAATAGCAGACATTAAATAGAAAAACTAGAAAACAATAAGTTTGAACAATTAAACAAAAACCCACTTCTATGAAAAGCCTAATAAAACAAACCAACCTTTGGCAAGTCTGATTTTTTTTATTAAGTGAGGAGTTTGCCAAGACATAATCAACATTAAGAATGAGAAAAACAAGGGTGGGCATGGTGGCTTATGTCTGTAATCCCAGCACTTTGGGAGGCTGAGGCAGGCGGATCACTTGAGGTCAGAAGTTCAAGACCAGCCTGAGCAATATGGCAAAACCCCATCTCTACTAAAAATCTCAAAAAAAAAAAAAAAAAAATTAGCCAAGTGCAATGGCAAGTGCATGCAATCCCAGCTACTCGGGAAGCTGAGGCAGGAGAATTGCTTGAACACGAGAGACGGAGGTTGCAGTGAGTCAAGATCAAGCCACTACACTCCAGCCTGGGAGACAGAGCAAGACTCTGTCAGGAAAGGAGGGGAGGGGAGGGGAGGAGAGGGGAGGGGAAGGGAGGGGAAGGGAGGGGAAGGGAGGGGAAGGGAGGAGAGGAGAGGAGAGGAGAGGAGAGGTGAGGAGAGGAGAGGGGAGGGGAGGGGAGGGGAGGGGAGGAGAGGAGAGGAGAGGAGAGGAGAGGAGAGGAGAGGAGAGGAGAGGAGAGGAGAGGAGAGGAGAGGGGAGGGGAGGAGAGGTGAGGAGAGGAGAGGAGAGGAGAGGAGAGGAAAGGAGAGGAAAGAAGAGGAAAGAATGGGAAAAGTGACAACTAAAATTGTGAAGATTTTAAAATACAGCACTGTACATCTTTAAACCAGTACATTTGATATCTAGGAAAAAAATGTTTTTCTAAATAAAACATAAGTTACAAAATTTGTAAGACATAGGAAGGGCTATAACTAAAAAGGTACTGAATTCAGACTGTTTTAATAAAAAATGCTCCGAATCTTCAAATAACATATACAAGTTATTCCAGAGTACAGAAAAAGATAAGAATGCTTCCTACTTCTTCTTTAAAACACATTGTCAAACTAGGCAAGCACAAGAAAGGGATGGAGGGAACTAAAACAATCTCTCTATGATCACAGTCACAGATGTATATATTCTAAAAATAATAACAGTAGGTGCTAAAATTCAATATGGCATTAAAAAACTAACACATCAAGACCAAACAAGGCTAATCTTAGAAATGAGAAATAGTTCAATATAAAAACATATGTTAATGTGATCCTCTAAAGTTAACAAATTAAAGAAGTGGAATAGTGGTGGGTACAAAAGAACATTTATGGTGTTATATATATGGCATGTATTTATAGAATGCCAACTTTGCATAAATAAGATGAACTCTACACTCACACAGCTAGCATTCTGTGAATATTATATGCTTGTGAATTATCTTAAACTTTTCTAAGAATAAAGTATTCAAGCTTCTTGTTTAAAATGAAACAACAAAACTATGAGGAAGGAAATACATTAGGACTGGAGAAAAAAATTCCTGATCCTCCAAATCCAATGACATTAGCATCAAGAATTGCAGGAAAAAGATCATCTCTAGAAATGAGATCTGGGAAAACTTAAAAGACTTTCCTAAACCTTTAAAATTTTAGGTTATTTTTTAGATGTAGGGCACGAAAACGTACTATGTGTATGCGCACACATCATCTATACACACATGGCTTCCTCAGCTGTGTAACCTTGAGCAGGTGACATAACCTCTGTAAATCAGTATTACATAACTTTGAGCAGGTGACATAATCTCTGTAAATCAGCATTACATAACTTTGAGCAGGTCACATAACCTCTGTAATGAAGACAATCCTAGTTCAATTTTCATATTAACCTCACATGGTTATTGTGAAAATTAACTGGTAAACATCCATAGCAGTTTCAGAACATTGTCCAGCACATTGTGGATACTATAGGTGATGATGATTCATGATGATGATGATGACGGTGATTTTCTGTAGCGTGTTTAGAGGTAGGGAATTAGGGAAGAATTGTTGGAAGAGATTGAAATAAAAACAGGAATGATACATATAGTCAAAAGTTCCCTAGGAACTTCTAGGAGTTGCATTTAATCTTTACATATGTGTTCTTCCTATGTGCATGCCCAGACATTCCCATTCCCATGCCACCACTCTCTATATATAATCACTGAAACTACATCCAGCATTATATCACTAACTTCAGAGTGCTCTGAGTGATTAGAGGCAAGAATATGGAGAATCTCATATGGAAGAGGGAACAAGAGGTACTACAATGTCACATTTTCCACCTTAACATTGATGTTTCACAAATTTCTATTTTACCTAAACTAAAAACAGTTTGTTTTCCCTCTCTCTTTTTAAATACATAGTATTGTGCCTAGGACTGCATTACATGTGCCTGAATTACAAATTTCATTATATTATACATATCTTTTTTCTTTATACATTCTTTCCTTAGTTTTACTCATTGGATTATGTGACCCTTATGATTTGCACTTATCCAGAAATACAGAACTACACTTAAGAATGATGCCAAAAGGCACTGCTGGTTATAAAGTTCTGAACAGAACATCACTATGGCATATGACCAACAGCTCACTCTCCTGTGATGACATACTAATAAGCTCAGATGCATCTGGCTTGATCTCTGGCTATTTCTTATCCTAATACCAAGAGGACCACCTATAGACTAGACCCCTGGTAACTACGCATATCCAAAAGATTGCTTCCCTCCAATCCCTACCATGGCTATGGGCTAACATCTCCTCTTTCCTTCACTAAATTATGCCTCACCTCTTCTTCCCACACTTTCCCCTTTACTCCATCACCATTGCTATGCCTTAATGCTACCAGATATACTTGTGTCTGACAAGGTTACACCTGAATGCCTTCCATGAAGTCGGTGGTTTTAAAGGAAGCTATCAAGTGTGGCTTGACTTAGAAACCAAGCAGCAGACAGAGTGAGCGCAGAAAGAGGCTCTGAAGACTCAAGCCCCACACTAGCATATATTCCTTTCAAAATCAGTATCCTCTGGGAGGCCGAGGCAGGCAGATCACGAGGTCAGGAGATAGAGATCATCCTGGCTAACACAGTGAAAACCTATCTCTATTAAAAATATAAAAAATCAGCCGGGTGTGGTGGTGCACGCCTGTAGTCCCAGCTAATTGGGAGGCAGAGGCAGGAGAACTGCTTGAACCCAGCAGTCAGAGGTTGCAGTGAGCCAAGATCGTGCCACTGCACCCCAGCCTGGGTGACAGAGCGAGAACAAAACAAAAACAAAAATAAAAACAAAAAACCCAGTATCCTCTTTTCCTGCTGTTGACTAACCCATCAGGTAGCATTTATCTGGTTATTTACATAGGTGCAGGAGTATCTCCAGGGGAAGGAATCCGAGGAGGGTATCTGAAATCATAACCCTCTTGAGGTGAAATGTTTTCTGTAAAAGAGTTTATGAGGTTTAGACTGTGGGTTTCCCATATTGATTTGATTTCTCTGTGGCTGGATCAATATAAAAAGCAAGAGAAAAATAACCCCTTGTTAAAAGACAGAACATGGAAAGACCACAGAAAATTGAAAAGACATTTTACTAATAGGCATTTTCACAGTTGAGTCTCAGTTAACTGCAGTCATATGCAGATCTGAGAACTATACTGACTCATCTTAGTCATGTGGTGCAACAACAGCCATGAGGCTCAAAATGAAAGACACAGAAGAAAACTAGAAAGATTAATTACGTATATAATGTCCATTTTAAAACAGGCGTGAGTGGAGAACTGCCCCTTTTAAAAGAGGAGGACAGAGAGGCCAGATCAAAGAAAAGGTAAAAAACAAGCTAGAAAACAACACTCACCTTTGCATATTTTCCTCTCTCCATCCCTTACCCTGTTTTGAATCTGACCTTGGGTCAAGGGAAAGAAGCAATATCCCTCCATCTAAAGCCACTGGTAAGAAAGCTATCTGAAACTCAGACCACCTCTTGGACATGAAATTTTGCCATTTCCAGGGCAGAAACAAGTATAGGAGAACTGTTAATAGGCTTCCTCTTTCAGTAAGTGCTTATGTTTCTCTTTACCTAACATTATTCATGAAGTGAGGTTTTCCAATTGTTGACTCTTCAAATGATCAGACCTCCTATTCATGAGATAGAAAGTTCCTCAGAGAAATTCTGCTTTTGCATTAGCATTGGCTTTCAAACTAGACTTTTCCCTTCAAGCAAAAATCCAAATAAAGCCCCTTCCTGAACACATGTATTTGTTTCCATTCTCCTACAATGTCAAGCCTGGTGTACACAATATTTGTAAGCTAATTTCGATGTTCTTCAGGAGCACTGCCAAAATGTGACATTGAAAATAGCATAGCCCTAGTTTTTGCATCTAGGCTAAAAATAAGGAAGCCATTCCATGGAGATGACCAACAGAAATCCTCTCTTGAAAGTTAGATTAAACACAGACTCTATATCCTTAACTTCTGTTTCATTTAATTTTCTATTTGACAGTGAAAGGACAGTCAATATATTCAAGCTTTGTATAGATTTTATAACATACACACAAATGAAAATAGTTTCACTGGCATAAGGATACAGAAAGACTACAAAAAATAATTCTGAATTTAATGTTAAATAGGTAGGCATAGTTTATGTGTAAACACCAAATTTGTTATATTTTGTTTTGAAATTGATGAAAACTTTAAGTGAACACATTGTTTTAAAAATGGGATATGTTACAAACTAGTCAATACGGTGCAAAAGGGAAGCATAAAAATTCCCTGATTGATCTCTGCTTGTTTAAGAAGCTCCCTTGGGTATACATGCCATCTGATTATAGACACTCCAACCTCTTCCAGGTGAATGAACCCATTATAAAAACTCTAAGCCACCCTTTCAATGGTAAGAGGAAATATCAGAAGTCCACTATTTTCTGAAGAAAAAGGGCAATAATTTCTATTTTTCTGTGGTACCCCATGTGGTCCCAAATTTTATGGCAATGACAGTAATTATTAGTGTGGCCAAGGAAGCAAGGGTGGATGCCTTGATGCTTATTTTCCCACTGGCCAATGTCATCTTCATTACCAGTGTCCCATGTCTGAGACACAGTGCACACACCACACACATTTCACTACAACCACACTTAAGGGTGGTTCTGAACTTTGAAATAACTCACTATCCTTTCATAATAGTTTTTAATCTACTTCACCTGCACCTTATTACAGTCATGTAATTTATTGGGAAACTGTTACTGCTAGAGGCAACTGAAGAAAACTTACAGAAGCTGAACCCTCCTTTCTTCTACAGCAATCAATGCCATTTTCCTCTAGGTATAACCTCTGTTTTATTCAGCCTACATTGCTATAAGAATTAAAACATGAAATTACTGAGCAGTTAGGTTCAAACTGCTCTTATATGCAGTCCACAAGATTAAATTGACTTTGAAATTGCACTTTTCCCTGTTATGCTTTACAGTACTTATCTACTTCACTTCCAAATTATAACTAATAAAATTATAATGTGAGTTCCAATACATGAGAATCATTCATTAATGAGAAAAAAGGGAAAGGAAAGTTTAACCAACTTATCCTTTAAAACGAAATCACAGGCATTCAGGGTGTTTAACAGAGGAAGTCTGTACCCACTGTACATTATATATCAAAGGGGCTCTATCTGTCTACCTACCTACCTACCTATCTACCTACCTATCTATTGAGACAGGGTCTCTCTCTGTCACCCAGGCTGGAGTGTAGTGGTGTGATCATAGCTCACCATAACTTCAAAGTCCTAGACTCAAGGGATCCTCCCTCTTTAGCCTCCCAAGTAGCTAGGACTACAGGCATGTGCCACTACATCTGACTAATTTTCTTAATTTTTACAGAAACGGACTCTCACTATGTTGTCCGGGCTAGTCTCGAACTCTTGGTCTTAGGTGATCCTTCCACCCTGGCCTCCCAAAGCACTAGGATGACAGGCTTGGGCCATCATGCCTGGCCTAGAGGAGTCCGTTTTCAAAACAGTGAATAACAAACAAAACATTGCAAGCATTTTATCAAATGTTATTCAGGTTTAATGCTATATTAAAATTCCATATCATCTTTAACAACAAAAACAAGCCATTCATGAACCAGTAAAAAAGTGCTGTCTCTCTACTCTGAAGACAAGATTATAATTACAACTAGATTATTATGCCTCAAGTTGCATCATAAGACATGGTATGATGATAGAGACAATATGGTCTGCAAACTATTTCATCATCAAACACTCAGATATGTTATTCTCAAGTATTCCACTGTTCCTGTATAGACTTATTTGACACATTACAATGCCTGTTTATGTTTTATTTTTACCTGGTTTTAAGCCATTTAGGAAAGATTTAAAATTCTACCAGTATACCACATACATATTCCCTAAAGAGGGTAAAAGTAGTTATCGTACACAGTATTTTATACTACATAAAAATCCTCTCATAGCAATCACAGTGCAATAGTTTATGCCTAATTAAATTAGCCATTTCTTTTTAGTCATAACATGTATTCTCTTTCTTCTTTTTGGTCATAATAAACCTGTACGTGTCTTACATGTCCCATAATTCTGTCTAAATGATTTCAGCTGTCATTTCTGAATCCAAAATGTACGGGCAGCCTGGGGCTGGTGACTGGAACAGGAAGCATTTCCAAATGCATTCCCATCATGTAAACCAGCAACCTGAAAAATCCCTTCCATTAAAACAAAAAACTTACTATTTGGCTTCTGGCAATGACATCATGGATAGACAAATTATATAGCTCTGTCCAGGCAGTAAGACTATTGCAAACTATTCTTCTCTGATAAAAGGAATGCAGGTATTCATGCTTTAATAGTTCAAGTGTCTGAAGTGGTTTCAATCTTGTAGGAGTTAATTCTTAAAACCAAACATATTTCTATATCCATATATATATAAATACCACATAAAACTTATTAAGTATAAATGATTTTCTTTTTGTAAACTAAATAAACTCAGTGTATAGTTTTGGGATGTTTCAAAAAATTAAGAAAAATTTGCTAGAAGTAAACCATTCTGTAGAACCATATGCTATTCCAGCATTAGAAGAATGTGTAAAATGTGCTCTCTTCAAATAGTGGAGGAAAGGGTTAAGCAGTATGATTTATATGCCCTCTGGCAAACCATTCACAAGCCTAAATCATATAACAAATGTTCATGGAGTCAAACAGTCACTTGAAAAGGACGTTCATGCTATTTTGAAGCCAGGCTGATTTTTTAGAGGAATGAGAATGAAATGCTGTGATCATTGAATATGCTCAAGAATTGTTTAAAAAGGAAGAAAAAAAACAGGCTGACAAAGTGGGCCACACAAAATATTCTGGAGTCCAAGTCAGGGTAGAAAGAAAGAAAAAAGGAACTGAAATAGTACTCAGGAATATCTTAACTCTCAAACACTTTCTGGAGCCACTCTGATAGGAATATGGAAGATCTCGAAATCACAGGGTGAAAGCAACATGAATGAACAGAGTTAGAAACAAAGAACTAACGGAAGAGAGAACAGATAAAGGGAAGGAAGACAGAGGAATCAAATACAGCCATCCTGAAATAACTTTTGCTGACTACAGGGGTGAATAATAGAGTCTTTTAAAAAATAATCTAGGTTCTAAAAGGTACTAAATGCGTGACTCAGAAAACTGAACCGTATTGTAATGAGCTTCAGGTACCTGTTACTTTTATTATTATTATTATTTTTAGATGGAGTCTTGCTCTGTTGCCAGGTTGGAGTGCAGTGGTGCCATCTCAGCTTACTGGAACCTCTGCCTTCCGGGTTCAAGCGATTCTCCTGCCTCAGCCTCTCGAGTAGCTGGCACTACAGGCACAAGCCACCATGCCCAGCTAATTTTTGTATTTTTAGTAGAGAGGGGGGTTCACCATGCTGGCCAGGATGGTCTCAATCTCCTGACCTCATGATCCGCCCACCTTGGCCTCCCAAAGTGCTGGGATTACAGGTGTGAGCCATTGCGCCTGGCCTACTTTTAATTTTCAAAACAGTAATTCTGGAACACATAATCAAATATAAAATATTAAACAATTTGTTAATTTGGTTACCCCATTTTTTGGCATGCTAATGAAAAAATCATAATTTTCAAACTCTTATAATAAGTGAAGTATTACAAAATGTATAAAGATGAATAAAAAAGTATTCACAATTTAGGAGTTTACTTATGACTATAAGGAAAAGAATAATGGCAATGAAATACATGACAATATATAATCTTTCTCTTCTTAATTAAAAATGAAGCATTTATAATTTTGTTCATATAATTTGACCCAGTGGTAACAATTTTAGGGAGACTTGTTCCAAGAGAAAATTCAGAGGAATGTATTAGAAGCAATGTTATTAAGATTTTACAATGCAAAATACAGAGGAACTCTTAAACATGGTCATGAATATCTGATTACTTATGGGGCAAAAGTTGTAAGCTAGACTCCAAGACAAGACAAACTAAAAATCTCTCAAATGGGAGAAATAGTTTGAAAAATAAATTTATGTTACGAATAGAGTATATCTAAATCTTCCTGGCTAGATGTATATTATACACAATGTAGAATAACAATGCTTTCAGAGAAAGTAATGGTAAACAATGAAGTATATGAACTATCTGTTTGCTACATATGATGAAAGAGGCAAATTATATTGCTATTCTTATGGCTAGCCTGAAGCATAGCATCTTTAGGTAAGATCTCCGTGATTTAAGTAAAACTGTATTTTTAAATTATTTCAATATAGTGTATATAAAGAGGCAAAGTAATTAGGTTTCTCAAACTCAACGAGAAAAGGATCACACCAACATTATTTTTAAAAATTCAAATTACCTACAGAGTATTGTGCTCTGAAACATGAGAAAATGAAGAGTAGTAAAATATACTGTTAAGAATCCGTAAAATTGTAAAAAATTGGTTCCAAGTAGCTCTCTTAACAGCAAACAAACAAACAAAATCCCTCATATATAGCTAGGGGAAAAACTCACAAATTTTTCTATCTGGAGTACTGCCAAAAGTTAAAATGGGTAGAAACTCCAAACTATTTGTCAGTACCTATGAGCAAATGTCAAATTCCTGACTTGTCTGTCAAATGAAAAAATAGCCAACAATCAACTCATCACTCTTTTTCTTCTTTTTTTACTACTAGCTTTGCTCAATCCATGGATAAAGAAAATGTACTTAATCTCTTGCTGTGCATGGGTATGAAATTACAGATACTCTGGAAAAAAGAACTTTTTTTTCAATCATTGGACACTTGCAAACTTTCAAAAATAATAACTTTCTCAGGACCCTGATATATTTGGCAAACATCACTGATGTTTTGAATAAAAATCCTGAAACTTCAAGCAGCAAAGACCAACACCATTGCTCCTCATAATATGTTTTACGCTTTTATGCCAAAATCTTGTTAGGTAGTCAGTGAATCAGAGCTAAAAATATCCCTTCATTCTCTTGACTTAGTGCCATTTGCCATTAGAAGGTTACTTTAAAAATATTTCAAGGGAAAGAACAAAATCCCATCTAGTCTGTTTGGGATGAATTCAGGTAATGCTTTCCCTATGCGAGGGCTGAAAATATCATTTGAAAGTCACTCTTAGCAAAATGTTAAAAGAAGTTATTGGTGCTCAAATTTGAATCAATTACCAAAAATCACTTGAGAAAATTATACTTGAGAATTTTGGGTAAAATATCTCTCAATATTTACTTCAAAACAAATTAGTAGGCTTGGCATGTAATTACCATAATCAAGATATGAAGTTTCTTGAAATGATTTTTATCAAGGAAAACACAGTAGAAACCCTATTTGGCAAAAAAGAAAACATACTTGTGCTCAACCCTTGACATTATGACAAAAAAGCTGGTGTTAAGCAAGCCAACTCAGTGCCCTCATAGAGAAAACATGTGGTTTTTAAATATTAAAAAGCCAGATTCAAAAGCTTAATAAAATCTGTTAAAATAATCATTGATGGAATTTGTTTTAAGAATTTTAAATTTATCCAAAAATTATTTTTTATTTATTTCTTCTAAAGAAAAACGAGATATATGTGCAGAATGTGCAGGTTTGTTGCATAGGTATATGTATGCCATTGTGGTTTGCTGCACCTATTGACCCGTCCTCTAAGTTCCCTCTCCTCACCCTCCACCCCAACAGGCCCTGGTGTGTTTTGTTCTTCTCTGTGTCCATGTGTTCTCAATGTTCAACTCCCACTTATAAGTGAGAACATGCAGTATTTGGTTTTGTGTTCCTGTGATTGCTGAGAATGATGGCTTCCAGTTTCATCCATATCCCTGCAAAGGACATGATCTCATTTCTTTTTACGGCTGCATAGCATTCCATGGTGTATATGTGCCACATTTTCTTTATCCAGTCTATCACTGATGGGCATTTGGGTTGCTTCCCTGTCTTTGCTATTGTAAATAGTGCTGCAATAAACATATGTGTACATGTGTCTTCATAGTAGAATGATTTATAATCCTTTGGGTATATACCCTATAATGGGATTGCTGAGTCAAATGGTACTTCTGGTTCTAGATCCCTGAGAAATCGCCACACTGTCTTCCACAAAGGCTGACAATCCCACCAACAAGTAAAAGCATTCCTATTGCACAGCCTCGCCACCATCTATTGTTTCCCGACTTTTTAATAATTGTCATTCTGACTGGCATGAGATGGTATCTCGTTGTGGTTTTGATTTGCATTTCTCTGATGATCAGTGATGTTGAGATTTTTTTCATGTTTGTTGGTCGTGTAAATGTCTTCTTTGAGAAGTGTTCATATCCTTTGCCCACTTTTTTCGGGAGGGTTGTCTTTTTACTGTAAATGTGTTTATGTTCCTTGTAAATTCTGGATATTAGACCTTTGTCAGATGGGTAGCTTGCAAAAATTTTCTCCTATTCTGTAGGTTGCCTGTTGACTCTGATGATACTTTCTTTTGCTGTGCAGAAGCTCTTAAGTTTAATTAGTTCCCATTTGTCAGTTTTGGCTTTTGTTGCAATTATTTTTGGCGTTTCTGTCATGACATCTTTGTCCATGCCTATGTACTGGATAGTACAGCCTAGGTTTTCCTCTAGGGTTTTTATGATTTTGGGTTTTACATTTAAGCCGTTAAGCCATCTTGCACTAAATTTTGTATAAGGCATTAAGGAAGGGTTCCAGTTTCAGTTTTCCACATATGGCTAGCCAGTTTTTCCAGCACCATTTACTGAATAGGAGATCCTTTCCCCATTGCTTGTTTTTGTCAGGTTTGTCAAAGATCAGATAGTTGCAGATGTGTGGTGATATTTCTGAGATCTATGTCCTGCTCCATTGATCTATATGTCTGTTTTGGTACCTGTACCATGCTGTTTTGATCACTGTAGCCCTGTAGCATAGTTTGAAGTCAGGTAGCGTGATGCCTCCAGCTTTGTTCTTTTTGCTTAAGATTGTCCTGGCTAAACGGGTGTTCTTTGATTCCATATGAAATTTAAAATGGTTTTATTCTAACACTGTGAAGAATGTCAGTGGTAGATTGATGGGGATACCATTGAATCTATAAATTACTTTGGACAGTATGGCCATTTTCATGATATTGACTCTTCCTATCCTTGAGCATGGAATGTTTTTCCATTTGTTTGTGCCCTTTCTTATTTCCTTGAGCAATGGTTTGTAGTTCCCCTTGAAGAGGTCCTTCAAATCCCTTGTTAGCTCTATTCCTAGGTATTTTATTCTCTTTCTAGCAATTGTGAATGAATGTTCATTCATGATTTGGCTGTCTGCTTGCCTACTGTTACCATAAAGGAGTGCTTGTGATTTTTGGACATTGATTTTGTATTCTGAGACTTTGCTGAAGTTGCATTTCAGTTCAAGAAGTTTTTGGGCTCAGATGATTGGGTTTTCTAAATACAAAATCATGTCATCTGCAAACAGAGACAACTTGACTTCCTCTCTCTTTGAATACCCTTTATTTCTTTCTCTTGCCTGATTGCCCTGGCCAGAACTTCCAACACTATATTGAATAGGAGTGGTGAGACAGGGCATCCTTGCCTTGTACCAATTTTCAAAGGGAATGCTTCCAGCTTTTGCCCATTCAATATGATATTGGCTGTGGGTTTGTCATAAATAGCTCTCACTATTTTGAGATATGTTCTGTCAATATCTAGTCTATTGAGAGTTTTAACTTGAAAGAACATTGAATTTCATCAAAGGCCTTTTCTGCATCTATTGAGATAATCATTTGGTTTTTGTCACTGGTTCTGATTATGTGATGGATTACATTTATTGATTTGCATATGTTAAGCCAGCCTTGCATCCCAGGGATGAAGCCAACTTGATCGTGGTGGATAAGATTTTTGATGTGCTGCTGGATTCAGTTTGCCAGTAATTTATTGAGGATTTTTGCACTGACGTTCATCAGGGATATTGGCCTGAAGTTTTCTGTGTTTGTTGTTTATCTTCCCAGTTTTGTTATGAGGATGATGCTGGCTTCATAAAATGAGTTAGGAAGGGGCCCCTCTTTTTCAATTGTTTGGAATAGTTTCAAAAGGAATGGTAGCAGCTCGTCTTTGTATTTCTGGTAGAATTCAGCTGTGAATCCATCTGGTCCGGGGCTTTTGTTTGTTTGTTTACTGCCTCAATTTCAGAACTTGTTATTGGTCTACTCAGGGATTAGACTTCTTCCTGGTTTAGTCTTAGTAGGGTATATGTGTCCAGGGATTTATCCATTTCTTCTAGATTTTCTAAGTTTATTTGCGTAGAGGTGTTTATAGTATTCTCTGATGGTAGTCTGTATTTCTGTGGGGTCAGTGGTGATATCCCCTTTAACATTTTTTATTGTGCCTATTTGATTCTTCTCCCTCTTCTTCTTTATTAGTCTAGCTAGGAGGCTGTGTATTTTGTTAATTTTTTCAAAACACCAGTTCCTGGATTCATTTATTTTTTGGAGTTTTTTTTTTATGTGTCTCTATCTCCTTCAATTCTTCTCTGATCTTAGTTATTTCCTGTCTTCTGCTAGCTTTTGGATTCATTTGCTATTGCCTCTCTAGCTCTTTTAATTGTGATGTTAGGGTGTCAATTTGAAATTTTTCTAGCTTTCTGATGCGAGCATTCAGTGCTATAAACTTCCCTCTCAAGACTGGTTTAGCTGTGTCCCAGAGATTCTGGTACATTGTTTCTTTGTTCTCACTGGTTTCAAGGAACTTCTTTATTTCTGCCTTAACTTCATTATTTACCCAGGAGTCATTCAGCAGCAGGTTGTTCAACTTCCAGGAAATTGTGTGGTTTTGAGTGAGTTTCTTAATCCTGAGTTCTAATTTGATTGCATTGTGGTCTGAGAGACTGTTATGATTTCAGTCCTTTTGCATTTGCTGGGGAGTGATTTACTTCCAATTAATTTGGTTGATTCTAGAGTAAGTGCCATGTGGCACTGAGAAGAATGTACATTCTGTTGATTTGGGGTAGAGAGTTCTGTAGATATCTACTAGGTCTGCTTGATCCAGAGCTAAGTTCAAGTCCTGAATATCCTTGTTAATTTCCTGTCTTGTTGATCTGTCTCATATTGACAATGGGTGTTAAAGTTTCCCACTACTATTTTGTGGAAGTGTAAGTCTCCTCATAGGTCTCTAAGAACTTGTTTTATGAATCTGGATGTTCCTGTATTGGGTACATACATATTTAGAATATAGTTAGCTGTTCTTTTTGAGTTGTTCCCTTTACCATTGTGTAATGCTCTTCTTTGTCTTTTTTAATCTTTGTTGGTTTAAAGTCTGTTTTGTCAGAGACTAGGATTCCAATCCCTGCTTTTTTTTTTTTTTTTGCTTTCCATTTGCTTGGTAAATTTCCTCCATCCCTTTATTTTGAGTCTATGTGTGTCTTTGCACATGAGATGGGTCTCCTAAATACAGCACACTGATGGATCTTGATTCCTTATCCAATTTGCCAGTCTGTGTCTTTTAATTGAGGCATTTAGCCCACTTACATTTAAGGTTAGTATTGGTATATGTGAATTTATCCTGTCATCATGCTGCTATTTGGTTATTTTGCACACTAGTTGATGGAGTTTCTTCGTAGTGTCATTGGTCTTTATATTTTGGTGTATTTTTGCACTGGCTGGTACCGGTTTTTCCTTTCCATATTTAGTGCTTCTTTTAAGAGCTCTTGCAGGGCACGCGTGGTGGTAACAGAATCCCTCAGCATTTGCTTGTCTGGAAAGGATTTTATTTCTTCTTTGCTTACGAAGCTTAGTCTGGCTGGATATGAAATTGTGGGCTGGAAATTCTTTCATTTAAGAATATTGAATATTGGCCTCCAATCTCTTCTGGCTGGTAGAGTTTCTGCTGAGAGTTCCACTGTTAGTCTTAGGGGCTTCCCTTTGTAGGTGACCCGGCCTTTCTCCCTGGCTGCCCTTAACAATTTTTACTTCATTTCTACCTTGAAGAATCTGATGATTATGTGTCTTGGGGTTAATCTTCTCATGGAGTATCTTAGTGGTGTTCTCTGTATTTCCTGGATTTGTATGCTGGCCTGTCTTGCTAGGTTGGGGAAGTTCTTCTGCATAATATCCTGAAGTGTGTTTTCCTGCTTATTTCCATTCTCCCCATCTCCTTCTGGCACTCCGATCAATTATAGGTTTGGTCTTTTTATGAAGACTCATATTTCTTAGAGGCTTGTTTCATTTTTTTTCTCTATTCTTGTCTGCATGTCTTATTTCAGTAAAGTGGTCTTCAAACTCTGATATCCTTTCTTCTTTCTGCCTGGTCTATTCAGCTGTTGATATTCTGTATGCTTCACGAAGTTCTCATGAGGTGTTTTTCAGCTCCATCAGGTCGTTTATGTTCCTCCCTAAACTGGTTATTTTAGTTAGCAATTCTTCTAACCTTTTATCAAGGTTCTTAGCATTCTTTGCATTAGGTTAGAATATGCTCCTTTAGTTCACCGTAGTTTTATATTACCCATCTTCTGAAGCCTACTTCTGTCAATTCATCCATTTGCTCCCCCACCCAGTTCTTTGTCCTTGATGGAGAGACATTGCAATCATTTGGAGGAGAAGAGGCCCTCTAGCCTTTTGGGTTTTTAGCATTTTTTCATTGATTCTTTCTCATCTTCATGAGTTTGTCCAGTTTTCATCTTCGAGGCTGCTGAACCTTGAATGGGGTTTTTGTGGAGATCTTTTTGTTGTTGTTGTTGATGCTGTTGTTGCTTTTCTGCTTGTTTTTCTTTCAGTAGTCAGATCCCTCTTCTGTAGGGCTGCCACAGTTTGCTAGAGTTCACTTCAGGCCCTATTCATCTGATTCGTTCCTGTCCCTGGAGATGTCACTCAAGGAGGCTGCAGAGCAGCAAAGTTGGTTGCCTGCTTCTTCTGCTGGGACCTCTGTCTTAGAGGGGCACCAAACTGATGCCAGTAGGACCACTCCTGTATAGGGTGTCTGACTACCCCCGTTGGATGGTCTCATCCAGTTGGGTGGCATGGGAGCAGGAACTATTTAAGGAAGCACTTTGTCCCTTGGTGGAAGGGTATGTTTTGCTGTGGGGAAACCCACTCATCTGGGCTGCCTGGATTCCTCAGAACTACCAGGAGGAAAGGCTAAGTCTGCTGGTCCGCAGAGACTGCGGCCACTCCTCCCCCTAGGGTTTCAGGTCCAGGGAGATCCGAATTCTGTTCCTGAGCCTCTGGCTGGAGTTACTGGAGATCCTGCAGGGAAGCCCCATCCACTGAGGAAGGATGGGTTACGGCTGGGCCTGAAGAAGCACTATGGCCACAGACTGCCACAGGTGGTAGGTTGGGCTGTCAGGACAAGTCTTGGGAACAAGCTGTTCAGCCTCCCTGCCTCTAGCAGAGGAAGCCTGGAGCTATAGAAATGACAGCCACCCTTCCCTTGCCCAGGGAGCTTAGCATGTTTGGCAGTTGTGAGTCCCAGTGCTGGCTGCTGTCCCTCCCCCAAGGAGCTCAAATGGCTTAGACAGCAGGCAGCTGCAGCCAATGCTGATCGCATCTCCCCATGGGAGTCTGATAGGCTTAAGCAGATTCCAGCTGAGAGGCGGTAAGAATCTGCTTGTTTCAGAGTTTGGTGCTAGGCCCTGGTGGCATGGGTTCACAAGTGGGATCTTCCGATTGGTGGGTTGCACAGTTCTGTGGAAAAAGCACAGTTTCCCCAGCTGGGTATCACACCACTCACAGTCTCCCTTCTCTGGGGAGTGGGGGCTCCCCTTTCCCGTGTTGCTTTCAGATGGTCCACCATACCACACTGCTCTTCCTTCTCTCGGTGGGTAATGCCCGCCTTCTAGTCAATTTTTTTTTTTACAATAGCAGCGACTTTTATTTATTTATTTTTTATCATTATACTTTAAGTTCTAGGGTACATGTGCACAATGTGCAGGTTTGTTACGTAGGTATACATGTGCCATGTTGGTTTGCTGTACCATCAACCTGTCATTTACATTAGGAACAGAATAGAGGCCTCAGAAATAACACCACACATCTACAACTATCTGATCTTTGACAAACCTTCACATCAATTTTGATGAGAGAACTTGGATACCATGGCTGCCAGTGAAGGATTCACACACTTATTATGGTTTTTCTGATGGGAGCCTCCAATCACCGCTGCTTCTAGTAGGCCATCTTGTCCTCTCCCCACTATCCAGAATTTTAAATGACATCAAAGATGAGCATGGAATTTTTATGTTAATGATACAAAGAGTATGTAAATTTTCAAATGTGAATAAACGATACATAACTGCATTTAATGATTTGGAATGATGACAACACTAGCATGGGTATAAAAGGTTAAAAAAACAGCATATGTTGTATATGGTGTAGTATACACATAAACATACACACATATATATAACATGCATGTGAGTATAAATCATAAAAGAAGTCTTCAAGGATAATACATGGTAGCATCGGCTCTCTCTGGAGTGGTTGGATAGTAAGTAATTTGGGATACTTCAGTCAGGATAGTCCAAGTCATTGCTGCAATAACAAGTAACTTTTGCTCAATTCGTTGGCCAAAGCAAGTCACCTGGCCATGCCTAACTTCAATAGGGAAGAGAGACATATTCTTTTTACGAAGACTGATATACAAATATTTGGGAATAGCAATATGGTCTTCTACATTAGGCAAATACTACTCATTTGTTTCTTCACTGTCAATACTTACTGAACATTAAATACATACATATATGTATAAATTTTTATTGAATTTTAACAGAACCCTTTGTCAAGGATTTAGTAGCCTTAGAAAAAGTTACAATTTTACCAACTCACTCAATTACTTCTCTCTTTTTTTAAAATTACTTCTCATCTAAAGTTAACTTTTCTAGAAATTCTTGCTATACTACACTAACTTTTTCCTTCTGATCTCTGAAAGTCTGATTTTCTGGTGTAATGTGTCATATACTTGGATACTTAAATCAAAACCCATATTTTGTCAGTGACTTCTCTAAAAGATAACAAATCCATGTTAAACTGAAGGGTTAACTACATTTATAAATTAATCTTTGTAAGTCTTGGACACAGGATGGATCTTCCAGATGAAGGCTGATGTACAGTATGTCTGTTGTGTAAAAGAAATGCATTATATTTACTAGTTGAAATGTAGGAAAAGAGAGCAAGACTGGACAAAGGAAGTCAAACTATTATGCTGACAAATAAATCTGTGGCCAGTCTAGCACCAGAGTTGTCCTGTGTTGTGCAGAAATGGCTGGACCTTTATACCTTCATGTTTTGCAGTCACCAGATATAGGAAGCCTGAGGAAAGGCCTGACCTCAATCAGAATGGGTCTCTGTGCTGAAGCAGATGCTGGAGGAGCTGACAGATGGAGGCATTCAGCTGATATTACTTCCTGTAGTAAGTCCTCCTTTCAAGGAGAAACCAGCCACTATATCTCTGTGTCTGATATACTCTATAAGACAGTTTTAATGAAAACCTTGAAAAATAACTCTCAATTCTCTCTCTCTCTCTGTCTCTCTCTCTCTCTCTCACACACACACACACACACACAGCCACACAATGTGTCCAATGCATCTATTCTATGAAAATTACCATATCAAGTTGGCAAAGATTTATAGGGTGCCCACTGCATTTGGTAACATGAGAAATTAGTCCCTGCTCTCATGGAGACTGGCTGCTCATCCAGCTCATTCATCTTATACAGGTGTCGTGATGACAAACAAGAATGATCATGTTGCCCTTTGAACCCTTACAAGATACCACTCAGTTCAATGTATTTTTAGTTAGCCAAAATCTGATTTTTTTAAAGATCCCTGGTCCTTTCTTTTTCTCTAATAAATATTCTATTACTAATCATATTCTCCCCATATTGCTTTCCCATAGTATTGTTGACTTTTTATCTTCTTGTTAGATTTAGACAGCTTTCCTCACATATTTCCTAAGATTCTAGCTAGAATACTCAACATTTTTCTTTCCTGACTGGTTCTAACTTCCTTATCCAAGTAAAAAGGGTAATAAAATAGAAGGGGGAGAAACATCAATCAATCCATTCTTCCAAATGTCCCTAACAAGGGCTGAAAGAAAAACTAGTAATTGAGATCCAAAGCTTTAAAACCAAGATCACATATTTGAGAAGAAAGGAAAAACCCAAAAGATGGAAAATTCTTACTCAGCAAATAGCTGCCACCACAAGTTAGTTTCTCAGTTCCCAATTTATGAAATAGAAATGAGGCATGAGTATCTGTTGGGGATTTATAGCCAGGCTTGAATATACCAGTGAGAAAGGAGTAAATTACTCACTAGAAGTTGAATGTTAACTCAGAACACTGAAGTTCATTTACGAAAAATAACATCTTAATAATACACGGCAATGAAAACATAATGAAACTGAAAAATGAAGTGTATATATTCTGAATAATTAAATTTTAAAATCAGAACCTTTTACCCCTATATATTCCTTTATACACAGACTGTAAAAAGGTTCTCATTGGCTTTAAAATACTGTCAAATGTATGAATATGTATCTATACATGTGTCAACATCTCAAAATCATAACAAATCATAAAAAAACAAACCAACAACTAACCAGCCAATTGACAGCCATAATTATTTTCTATTAAGATAGCAAATTCTAATAAAATCCTTCAGACACTGCTCTTGTGCCTAAAATGTTATTGAATGGACAATAATCTAATAACAGTTAATTAAAATACCTTCACTCCCACTAGCCTTGTCATATTTGATAAACTCTGACAACTGATAAAGAGAAAAACTTATATACTTCACAACAATTGACGTCAAAAAGTTATCTAATTATACATTGGTTTACATAATGGCACGCTTTAACATTTGTTCATATTTAAACTTATTAAGAATGGATGATATTCCAAAGTAAAGATGACAAATAGAACATATGGATCTACCTTGTATTCTCCTGAATTCCCACTCACCAAATTTTGAAGCTCCAAAACAGATGGTAGCAAGTTTTGCATAGAAAATACACCCAACCAACCAAATGGAATACTAAACTGGCAGTGAGGAAAGCCTAGAAGCAGCACTGCTTATGCGGAGAACAATCAAAAGGCTCAGAAATTGGTGGCACCAGGAAGTGGGCATGAGTTGAAAGTCTATATATGGAAGTCGAAAACATGGAATATTGGTTGACAATCTTTTTAGTAGCTATTTAACTTAGATTTGTTTCCCCACTCTGCTTATACAGATAACTGCCCCTCTTAAACCCAGAGAAGGAAAAACAGAGGGTGTCCAAACTAGAAAATCCAACCAGTTAGGGACAGCGACACCATCCTAAAATGGGGGATTATGTAGGGGTCTGATCCCCACTCAGTTTCCAGAAGATTGGCAGCCAGGCAGGAGTTTGGAAGTTTTTTCATTGGGAATCTCATAGCATCACAGGAAAGACGGATACTGGCATTGAGGGTTTCTCAACAATATGACTTAGTCAGTACCTACAGTGAAATTCATAATGACCCAGATACCCACATACCTGGAATTCCCAATCATATTGCTTCTGTACCAGCTATCTGGCCAAAGCCTCAAATATTCAAGAGAGAGCCCAAAACAAACTAAAAGAAAAAAATAACAACTTGGTGGAAACATAGTTTTACTATTAGAAAAACTTCACAAAGGCTATTATTAATATTTTCAGTGAGAAAATATTAGTAAGAAAAGATATTGCAACCTTGAAACAAGGAAGAATATATTATAAATGAAATATTCAGAGCAAAGGTACCTTAGAAATTAATAATAAAATTTAAATTTAGAAACTTCAATAGAATATGTGAAACACAAAGTTGAGGAAATTTGATCATTAATGTTGAGCTAAAGAAAAAAGAATTAGAAAACGGGAGAGAAAAGACAAGAAAATTAGGAGAACAATCCAGGAGGTCCAACATTCAAATAATAAAATATCTAAAAATAGAGAAAGGAGAAAATAAAGGAAGGAAATAGTAACAAAATAATTTAAGTTCTTGAATACAAGTAAATACATTAAAGATGTTCAACATCATAAGTCAGGAAAACACAAGACAAACTCACTATCAGATACAACTAAACATCCAATATAATAAAAAAAAAAGGCAGAAAATAACAAGTGTTGCCAAGTGTAAATAAAATTGGCACCCCTATACACTGCTGGTTGGATTGTAAAATGGTGCATCCACTTTGGAAAATAGTTTGGCAGTCCCTCAAAAGCTGAAAGATAGAGTTATAAGATGATCAGCAATACCACTCCTAGATATATGCACAAAAGAATTGAAAGAAGATAAACAAATGCACGTACACAAATGTTCATAGCAGCACTATTCACAACAGCCAAAAGGCGAAAAGAAACCCCACATGTACAGTAATTGATGAATAAATAGATAAAATGTATATCCAAAGTATGGAATATTACTCAGTCTTAAGGAAGTATGAAGTACTGAGAAAAGCTACAACATGGATGAACTTCAAAAACATTATGCTAAGTCAAAGAAGACAATGACAAAGGGTCACATATTATTATGATTCCATTTATATGAGATGTCAGGCAAATCTATCGAGACATACAGTAGATCGGTGGTTCAGGAGCAGGGGGTTAGTGGTGAATTCAGAGTGAATGCTAATGGATATGGGATTCTCTTTAGGGTAATGAATTGTAAAATTAGGTTGTAGTAATGGTTCCACAACGTTGTGAATAGGCTCAAAACCGCTGAATTGTGTACTTTTAAAAAGCAAACTTTGTTACATGAATTGTATCGTAATAAAGCTACTGCATTACACACATTAAAAAAAGGATGAGGCCGGGCGCGGTGGCTCACGCCTGTAATCCCAGCACTTTGGGAGGCCGAGGCGGATGGATCATGAGGTCAGGAGATCGAGACCATCCTGGCTAACAAGGTGAAACCCCGTCTCTACTAAAAATACAAAAAATTAGCCGGGCACGGTGGCGGGCGCCTGTAGTCCCAGCTACTGGGGAGGCTGAGGCAGGAGAATGGCGTGAACCCGGGAAGCGGAGCTTGCAGTGAGCCGAGATTGCGCCACTGCAGTCCGCAGTCCGGCCTGGGCGACAGAGCGAGACTCCGTCTCAAAAAAAAAAAAAAAAAAAAAAAAAAAAAAAAAAAAGGATGAAAGGACATGAGATTCCAGATTGAAAAAGTACACCCAATGAGCATAAAGCTGAACCTTGGTTTCTTTTTCACTTTATCATAAAATTTCAGGACACTAGAAATAAAGAGAAATAGCTTAACAGAAACAATGGAACTGAAAAATGGAGCAATCTTACTGAAATTCGAATGGAATTATTTCCAAGCAAGAATTCTACATCTAGCCAAAATGTCAATCAAGCATGAGCACCGAATAAAGATATTTTCAAAAATACAATGCCTCAACAACAACAAAAATCTCGCACACACCCTTTCCCAGGAAGCTATTAGAAATTGTCTTCCTCAAGACAAAACCACATAAGATGAAGACAAAAGAGCTCCAGCTCAGGGAAGAGGGGAAGGGCATGCCTGGAAATCAGGAAAGATACACCAGGCAGATGCTCTGGGAGGCCCTGAATTAATAACAGAAATGAAAAACAGAAAATTAATATTAATTCCAGAGAAACAGAGAGGAAAAAGTAGTCACAGTACACTATGTGTCTTGGCTACAAAGATTTATATTAACATGCTAATATAAATATCAAATTCTGAATTCTGATATAATCAAAATTATGACTACACTGGGAGGATGGGAGACTGGGAGGGTGGCAGGAAAAGGTGAGTACGTTTGTTTTGAAGTGGAGGAATGAGAAAAAAAACCAAATTCTCGCTTTGCATTGTAGGAATCAGTAGATTATGCCAAAGATGAATAATCAATAAGTGAAAATAAATGAGTTTTATTAGATATTTAAAGAGAAACTGAAAGAATCAGCTAAAAAAGTGGAAAGTTGAAGGTAAAAACTGCTGTTTTTTCATAAGAAACCTGGAACTAATTGACTTAATCTAAATACATACATAACTTGCATAAAAGCAAAAATCACATCAACAAAAATGAATAATTTATAGGGTGGCCTAATATTCCTTTACCAAAGTATAGAATGCACATTAAACTAAACCATTATGTGATATTAACTAAGTATTCATAAAATGGAAGAAAAAGTAAAATTAAAAACACTAAATAGAATGCAAGAAGTGGTCATTTTCATGACAGGCATTTACTAACTTACTTTAAAAATTTGTGAAGTTATAGCCACCAGTTTTGTATGATATATAATAATGTATACTTTCACACTTACAACTGAATTTGCTAGTGATTTTTTCATCAATTACTTAATGACCTATTCAGACTTAATGTGAAGGTAACTGGAATTATTGATCATCTTCATCCTGATCTTGGGTACTTACATCAGGTGGCAACTTTTGTACCTTAGCTGGAGCTTTCTCTAATCTCTCCAAGCTGATAATTATTGTCAGTCTTATTACATTCAATGTATTACTCTCGTGCCTCCACCCACCCCCTGAATCATGCAGTTTTCCAGGAGTATTGTTTTCTTAAGACATATGGCCATAATTCCTGTGAGAAAATTTTTAAAAAAAATTAACATGAGAAATATATACTTTTCTTTCCAAAGGAATTATCTTTTTATTACTGTTTTATCTTTTCTGTGATTTCTCTACCATTAAATATCATAGTTTAAGTGGTGAAATTCTAAGATAAACTGAGGAACAAGAATTAAAATATTATAAAAATCAGATGCATACTGTATTCTCATTAAAATAGTTTGATCTATGGTGGAATATACTCAGAACTGTGTGCTTTTGTGGATAGGCAGGCATTTACCATAGCAACAGTTGGAGATCAGAAACACTTCTATCTTAGACCATGTGAATTAAATACCAAATCATGATTATAAGTATCTAATAAGGAGAGCAATCACATAAAACTAGAATATAGAGATGATAGATATGATGTAAACAGGAAAAAAATTGATATCTCAGTACCCAACATGATAGTGGACAGTTAAAAATGACTAAAGGTAACCATCATTCCTTATTATTAGATGAGAAAAAGCCATTAGGGAAAAGGATAGAAAAGAAGTTAATTTATTTTGTCCTACCAATTACAGAAAATGAGAAGTTCCTAAGAGAGCACTGACTGAAAGCTAGCTTGTTTCCTTTTTATTTCTTTAATTTCTCCTTATGGTTCAGAATTCCTCCATCTTACACTGCCTGCACATTCAGTCATCCACAATGTTTACATCTGTTCGCATTCTGTACTTGGTTCTGAATGACAACCTCCCCTTCAGAATATAGAATCACAGTATTATACAGCATAACTAGTTCTCCATATATGAAACAAAAACCCTTCCATAAAGAAAAGCCTATGAGACAAATCTAGTTTTCCTATTGTTTACACTAAAACACAAATATGTTCTAGTACCATGACACCTATAGATGTGTGACAGCAATTTATAACTCAAATGGCTTATGGAGGTTTACCTCGTCTAAGATCACAGTTCTTCACATGACTTCAATCTCTTTAAAAACAAGGTCTATATATTTGTATCTCTAGAACTTAAGGATACTCCCTGGCACAGAGAAGACAGTCCGTATATGTTGGAGGGAAAAAAGTGAATGAATGAATACATAAATTATTAAGTGAATGACCATAATGAGCTGTGTTTCTGTTCCCCAAAATTATGTCACATGGGACACACTTATATATGCCAATTGTAAAACCTTGGGCAATCATTTGCTATGGAAACTTGTAGTTACCTGGATTCACACTCAACTCAGGAGATGATATGATGTAGCCACTGGAAACGGCATGCACGAAGTATCTGACATCTTAGCCTAAATTTCCTCATCTGCAAAATGAAGGGACCTTACATCTACGTCATGGTATCAGTTGGCAGCACATAACCTAAATTACATATCTCAATGTCATGCATGTAATACAGGTTAGGAACCCTTTCTACAATATTCCTGATGTGAATCTAGTCATCCTCTATTTGAATGCTTTTAGCAATAAGGTGCTCATTATATTTCAAAGAAGTGAACATAATTTACAGAAAACACATAATTGAGCATTCTTCTAAGAATTAAGCCAAAGCCAGCCTTCCCCAAATTCTCACACTTGACTTCCTTACCCCATCTAGAATATATACACTACCTTTTTCTCTCCTCTCTTGGTATGTCTTTAATTCTCCTGAATAATTTTGGCATCTTATTGGAGCTCCTCTGTGCATACTCCCATACACCAAAGAAATCACTAGTCTTTTTTTACATGGATTGTTTTAAGTTACCTTTCCTCCACCCCATTTTTCTGTATTAGGTTGGGATGCTTTCTTTTTTTAAAACCAAATATACCGTTTTACTTATCCCCATGATAATTCACCTTGTAGGTTAGGCTCATCATTTTATTATATTCTTTTCTGATCCTTGATTCTATCACCCTAAGTGTTAATTATACTTCCCAGCTATGACACAAATAGGTCCAGCATATCACCACCACTATCTGAGTCATTAATAAAAATATCAAATAGAACAAGGACAAGGACAATGCCCTCCAGCACACCCCGACAGACTTTTCTCCATGATGATGTCAATTCATTGATCAACATGCTTTGGACAAAGTGGTTCAACCAGAGATAAGACTGGAAAAAAAATAATGATCTCCTAACAACTAGATTTCTATTCTTGTTTTAAATATCTCATAAATATCTCAAACTAGTTCACTAGTCTGTTGAAATCAGGAAATAACAAAGAGAATGAAGATCATTAGACCCTAATGTCTAAAAATTTATTTTAAATTTCACCAATGTTCTATATGAAGCTTATATTTCTGTAGACTCAGATTTGTCCCCCATCACCCTTTAAAAACCAGCATTACTTTTGCCCATCTCCATTCTTGATGATTTCCCAAACATTATAAACAATGGTTCCATGAATATACCACCTGCCAATTCTTTTTACATTCTAGATTTACCTTATCTGGGACTAGATAATGAATCTAGTGGACGTTTATGAGGTGTCTTTTTCTCCTTAGGGCATGGTGGAAAAGCAGGGAAAAACGGAAGTATGCCCTGTATCCGAATGTATTCCCTAAGTTGGGAAAGGTTCTGATTTTATGAATTTTTTTAAACTTTTATTTTAAGCTTGGGGTACACGTGCAAGTTTGTTATACAGGTAAGCTTGTGTAATGGGGGTTTGCTATACAAATTATTTCATCACCTAGGTGTTAAGCCTAGTATCCATTAGTTATTTTTCCTCATCCTCTCCCTTCTCCCAGCCTCCACCCTCTGGCACACCCCAGTGTGTGTTGTTCCCCTCTATGTGTCCATGTGTTCTCATCATTTAGCTCCCACTTATAAGTCAGAACATGCAGTATTTGGTTTTCTATTCCTGTGTTAGTTTGCTAAGGATAATGGCCTCCAGCTCCATACATGTTCCTGCAAAGGACATGATCTCTTTGTTATGACTGCATAGTATTCCACAGTGTATATGTATCACAATTTCTTTCTGCAGTCAATGGTATTTTATGAATCTTGACAGGAAACAGGACCCACCTGCCATTAGAATAGCCAAAATGCTAGATACTCACTTTCTTATGGTCCTGTGCAGTCAAAACATGGGCTTGAAACTTCATCTCAGCCAACAAACACAATCAATCCTGGCTTAGCATTACGAGCTAACAGTCCAAAGAAGCAATGATAATGTAGGATGTTCCCATTTTGGCAACATTGGCAAAGATAGGCAAGGCCAGCAAAGCAAGAGACAATGTCCAGCCCCAACACTCATGGTGGCAGCAGGGTGCTTAGTGGACAGTGCCATGGCATGATTTTGGCTCTGGTCTGGCTATCCAGTCTCATGCTGTTCCTGCCCACTTTTAAAGTCTTCCCAACAGGTGTGTCGGCCACACAATGTATATCCAGAATCCAACCATTTCTCTTCACCTCTTCTGCAGACATCATCTCATGTTTAGATCTTATTGCAATAGCCTCCTGACTGGTCTCTTGATTCTTAACTTCCCCACCCTTGGTCCATTCTTAAGAAAGCAGCCAGAGATCCAATAAAATATGAGTCAGATCAAATAATTTCTCTGCTCAACACCCTTTGGAGGCTTCCCATCTCATTCTGAGTCAAAGCCAAACTCAGTACAGCCAAACCTTTCAAAGCCCACAGAATCTGAATGCCATTGCATCTCAAACCTTGTCTCTTCCTATTGTCATCCTTGCTAGCTCCCTGCAAGCCACAGCCCTGCTGTTCCTCAGACAAGCTTTCTGCCTAGAATGCTCTTCCTCTAAAAATATGTGCATCTCCCTCTTTCATCTCCTTCAGATTTTTACCTAAACACTTCTCAGCAAGCCCTCCCTGATCACCCTCAATTAAAGTTGCATGTGTGCATACCTATGCACATACATCTATCTCAGAGGAAAGCAGAAAAATGTTCAATTGCTCAAGGACTGCTTAATCTGGAAAGCAAAATATTGATAGAGAGCTACAGTTTTTCAAGAACAGATGTGGCATAAAATCATGCAAATCACAGCATTCTTCACAGATTTAAACATCAAAATGTATGAGGCAGAGAAACCAAATAATTAAGTAAATTCTGTAGCAAGTTGAAAAGACAGTATGTAATTTTCAGCTTCCTGTCCCATCTTCTAACATCATACATACCTTAGACCATCATATAAAACTCTAGGAAGGTAATAACACAGGTAAGTTGCAGGTTAAAATGGAGTAACTGGCATCTTTAGGCACAGAAGACTTGAGCTAAAGTCATATCTTTACCATTTTAACTTGGCTAAATCATTTGTCAATCTGCTTTAAATTCTCTAAGCATTATTTTTCCTCATCGATAAAATACTTCATAAAAATAACATGCTACCTACAACTCAAAGAGCTGAGGGTGGCATCTAATAAAATAACATCTATAAGAGTGCTTTGTAGAATGTACAACACTATAAAAACATTTTATGGGCTTTATGATTTCTATTGATACAGTTTTGTTTTCATGTGAAATACAATATTTTTGTTTTATATAATGTTATACATTAGTTTAGGCTATTTCACTAGTTTATAGCACAATAGGAACAAAATGATTATCCCTAACAATATCATGATTAGCTTTGAGTTTGTTGCTTTTCTTTGTTTCACAGCTTTATTGAGGTATGACTGATATGCAAATGACTGTATATACTTAATGTATACAATCTGAGGAGTTTGGACATATGCATGCACCCATAATACCATCACCACAATCAAGGCAATCAAGTTAATAAATATATCCATTACTCCATTAATGTGTGTGTATGTATGTGTATGTGTGTGTGTGTGTATATATATATAGTGTGTATATATACATATATATGTAATATATATGTATAATAAAGGCAAAATGACACAAGGAAACTTGTGGAGTAATGGATATGTTTATTACCTTAACTGTCTTGATTGTGGTGATGGTATTATGGGTGAATGCATATATATAAATAGTTTGTTTGTTTTTTAGAGACAAATTCTTGCTCTGCCATCCAGAGTCCAGTCTAGTGGTACAATTGTAGCTCATTACAGTCTTGCACTCTTGGACTCAAGCATCCTTCCACCTCAGCCTCCAGAGCAGCTAAGACTGCAGGCACATGCCACCAGCCTGGGTAATTTTTTTTTTTTAATTTTATGTAGAGACAAGGTCTTACTATGTTGCCCAGGCTGGTCTCAAATTCCTGGCCTCAAGCAATCCGCCCACCTCCACTTTCCAAAGTGCTGGGATCACAGGATTGAGCCACTGTGTCCAACCTTGCTTTTATATTTCTGATGGTAAGAATGCTTAACATAAAAATCTACTCTACTACCAAAATTGTAAGTGCACAATATCATATTGTTAAACCATGTGCACTATGGTGTGCGGTAGCTCTCTGCAACTTACGACTGAAACTTTTATCATCCATCTTGTATCCACCCCCCTCCAAAAAAAACCTGAAACTTTATACCCACTGAACAACTCCCTATTTTCCCCTCCTCCTTATTCCCTGGTAATCACAATTCTATTTTGATTTCTACTTGTACACAATTATTAAATATGTAATGAAAAATGCTGCTACACATGCTTTGCTCTTATGTAATTTAAAAGAGAACAGTTATTAGCTTAATGGCAATATATATTTAAATAATCATGTTTGCTATCAGCATTCTTATTTTCACTGATGGGATCTGTTTTAAATTTTTCAGCATGGTGTTAAATAGGTTAATGCGGCACTTATTTGTCTTTGGCAAAGAAAATAAAAACTAAATTGCTTAACTTTCTGTTTAAGTAGAAGAAAAATTTGTTAGAACTTTCACAACTAAATATATTCGGGAGTCAATGATTCTCAACTACATTTTCTACCTTTCTCTTCCAAGTCTTAAACCTGTATAGGGAAAAAAGACAGCTATAATAATATTTTAGACCATTATGAACGAGATTCCTTTTCAAGCTAACTGAGCGACTCCTTGGTTTAAGGTGTTCCTTCATGTTTGACATATTAGACCCAACTGCCTGGGTCTGTCTTACAAACTACAAGACCTTGGAAATAACTGTACTCAAAACCATGCATCAGAGGGGCCCACATGTTACCCAATAGCAACATGAGCAACTTAAGGAGCACATTTCCTAAGGGGTTCCCAACCTTGCAGCTTCCAGATCGTAGTATCTACAGACTTTGTAACTGTATAAGAATCTAAATTACAGAACACTTTAGGTCTGTAAAGCTTTTCCTATTAAAAGAAAGCCTACACCAACAATATCCTATTAGCCGCTAAACCACTTTAATAATGACCTTCAAAGTCATTTCCTTGAGTATTCTTTCACATCACTAAATTTTTACCACTTATTTCATTATTCTGGCCTTCAGAAGGCTTTTATAAAACCTAAAATGTCATTCATGGCAACAATATAAAGCAACTAGGCTTACAGTTCTCCTTTAAAGCCAAAAAAAGAAATACATTTGTAGTATGTACATATTATAAATAAGAATCCTTCACTTGGTAAAACTTGAATTACATAGGTATCTCAAAAAGCCCTTGAAAACTTCATTGTGAAATCAAAAGGAAAAATACAATAGTATCTAATGAATCTTAAATTATTTTACTTTCCCGTCATATCCAGGGTTTTAATGGGCATGGGGTATTGGTTTTTTCTACTGTTTAACTTACAATGGTATCTCCCTCAAAAAAGGGTACAATGAATTAATTACACAGAACTACAAAATCAACATTGTTTAGAAAATATCTTTGATGTTAATAATTCTGAAATACAGCAACATTATCATTAAGTTTTAGAAATTTTAAATTAAACTGATACTGATTTTAGAACTTGCTAACAAAGTTCTGTGTGTGTGTGTGTGTGTGTGTGTGTGTGTGTGTGTGTGTATGTGTATGTGTGTGTATTTCAGAAGACCCTAGTGGCATATATGTGACAATACTATAACTTACAAGTTTGCTTTATGGAAACTAAAAACACATTTTGTAATTGAAATAAGAGTTTAAATGGACAGGTTTTTGGCCAATCTACAAAACTTATTCAAACTATAAAGCAGTTTCACTGTTTTTAGGACTTATCTGCACTCAGGATATTAAGTGTAGAATAAAGGAAGGTTATGGAAAGAAAGAAGAAAGTTTTCTTTTCCTCTTCTGACCAAAGACCTAGGCTAACTAAAATTGATAAAAATAAACAGGAGCTATAACAGTCCAATTAGGATGGGCCTGGGTCTATCTTACAAACTACAAGACCTTGGAAATAACTGCTTCATCTCCCTAACCTTTAGGTTTTTCCTTTGCAAAATGATGGTATTTACAGTTCCATGAGGCTGTTGAGAGCACCAAAAGTGACAATGAATGTAAAGCCCTCCGTACAGTGCTCAGCATAAAACTGTAAATTTCAGCTGTTGGGTTTTATTATTGTGGCCATATTTGTCTTAAACATTCTTTTGCCTCTCTTTCTGTGGCCCTCACTCATTCATCCCAAGCCCACAGTGCCCTCCTGTTTCCTACCTTATGCCGCTCACTAATATCTGCTCTAATTTCCAAGGCACTTAATGTTTAATAATTATTATTGCCTTTCCACTGCTTCAAAACATGCAAGAAGAGTAGAGTTTATTTCTGCTAGACACTGTGAGGAAAGCAATCTGATTAAAACCATCCATTAAGGTATGTAAGAACCTTAATTTTTCTTGAGATATCCAAATATTTACAAAGAACAAGCAATTGGAAACTTGTGTTAAGGAAATAAAAACTTTAGGTAATATTCAGGGAAGTTATTTTTGAACTGGGCAATTGCCAAATAGACTAATCGTGCTGAGAAATCTACACCTTCCCACCCTAAATGAGAAGACTATCCCTAAGAAATTTCTACAAACTGAAGCGGTTCTTTTCACCAAAGGCTGATTTCAGGAATTCAACTAAACATCTTTTACTAAAAATGCACAAAAATCAAACTTCACATATAGCAGCAAAAAAGCAAAATGTTAGAAAATGATGAGAACAGGAAAAGATAGAAAAAGAAAGGTAGAAAGGAAAAAGGCAAAGAAGCAGTGTAAAAGTAAGGCAACACAGGTAGACAGGTCAATAGAAGCAGAGGCAGGGCAATCATAAGCCAAAAATGACCCAAGTTGGCCTCAATCTCTAAAAGAGACAAGAGTAATCTATATGATGTACGAACTCCATGGAGAAGTTGGGAACAAAATGTTACTCTAGATACTGCATGTGCCCATATTATTAAGTGGTTGATTTAAAAGCACATGGGATGTCTCCATAAGAATTGGACTAGGGAAAATTTTACTCACACAAAGAAAAGTGATTATGTTTAAAAGTCAGTCTTTATCAGTAAATAATGCAGGGTAGTGAATTTATTTCCTTTTATTTGGCAACAACATAAATACAAAATCGTCAAATGACACTTGATCCAATATGTACATTTTAGCCCCATAAATATATTCCATTATTTTTTAAGATTTAGAGGACATATTTTCACATTACTTTTATTAGTTTCTTTACCAATGTTACTGATTTTGGTGCACAAGCTACTTTCCTTCCTTTTAATTATCTAATTTGAGGGACAGAATAAGTACATTTTTGAAATCTCTTTTCTACAAAACACTGTAAAAGTCAAGCATAGTAAAGAAAATCTAGATTTAACTGAAATATGTAAACTAGACATACTTAAAAGTATGAATCAAAAGTTCCAAGTCTAAATCAGCTGGAATACATTATTAACTCAAAAATCATGGATTAAACAAAAGAAATTATGTTTGCATTGATGTGTGAATCTGCATCCATTCTTGGTACCACATAATATATGCAACTGCTCAGCTCTAGCTGTCCTTGCAGTCACATTACCATATTATTCAAATGTATCTATCATTTATATGTAAATAGACAAGATAAACGGCTTCTTCATAAGACAATTTTCAAATGACAGACACAGGCAGACATAAGCAAAATAAAAATGTTGCAAATATTCATTCTTTTTTTTTTTAAGGAAAAATGGAAAGTACTTCAAATTTTTTAAAAAGTAGTGTGGTAATTACAAAATGGGGTCCTAATACACTGACAATACCAACAACTATTCTAAATAAATGTCTGCACCGATGTCATTTGTGTCTTATAAATTACATGTTCTTAGATCCATCTGTGAAAATTGGGATGTTAATTATCATAGTTACATTTCACGATTCCACAGTTAAATGCTGAAGTAGTGCTACACAAATACCATGTTTTTTAAGAGAAATGGAGAAGAATTAATTATGAGTTCAAGTCCAAGTCTTCTAGCAATAATACTCTCACATAAGAAGATCATTACATTGTGTACTATGCAATTGGAAGTTCTAATTAATAGCTGAAATACCAAGTGAGGGGGAAAACTTTGAAGTCTAAATTGTATCAGGCTTTCCTACACACACACACACAAACACACACACACACACACACACACACATATCTTAATAAGCATGCTTTTGAGAAACCAAGTTACAAATCCAAAAATAAAAAACCATTCTTATTGCCTATGAGTTTTCTTTGATAATGATCACCATCAGGCTGTTGAATCCTATGTAATAAACCTAAAAATTACAATGTATCCTAGTAACAAATAGGTTATAAATAGATAACATATCTGATAAAAATTCAAGTTAACATTTTTCTGGGTTTTTCTTTTAAGATACATATCATTCAATAATCTCTTATAGGGCCTTTATTTTATACAAAATTATAATTCTCATGTATTCAGATAAAATATTAACTTCAGTACAGCAATCTAAAAACGAAATTCTATGACAACACTATAAGAATTTCATTCATATTTTAAATGTCTAAATTTAAAAGTCTTATTTTACTTACCACATATTCAAACACAAGTGTCAGCGTCTCCTTGGTATGGATGATGTCATGAAGTAGCACTATGTTAGCATGTTTTAGTCCTTTTAAAAGAGAAGCTGTAAAACAAAATGGACAGAGAAACAATTTATCGTGGATAACAATCAACTAATATATACCATTATAATTTTGGCACACTGTCAGATGAGAGATATCTATTTTCACATGTTCCAAGTCAATAACAATTCAAAATGAAGGGTAGAAAAACAAGACTTTTTTTGAGATGGGGTCTCACTATGCTGCCCAGGCTGGTCTCAAACTCCTGGGTTCAAGTGATCCTCGTTCTTCAGCCTCCTGACAAGCTGGGATTACAGGTGTATAACACAGTGCCTGGCCAGAAAAACAAGGTTTTCATTCAGATAAAACTTCTTTCAGTTATTTTACCTGTCATCTGTTATTAATCTCTAGTTAGGTTTCATTATGATCAGGGAAAATACTTGGTATGATTCCAATTCTTTAAATTTGTATAGTTTATTATCCAGAATATGGTTTATCTTGGTATACATTCCATAGGTATGGAACCTGAATTCTGCTGATGTTGGGTGGGGAGTTCTATAAATGTCAATTTGATCCTATTATTTAATAGTATCATTGAGTTCTTCTATTAATATATCCTTACTAATTTTCTGAATAGTGGTTCTATGAACTACTGAGAGAGGCATATTGGCATCCTCAACTGTAATGGTGGATCTGTCAATTACTCATTTGAGTTCTGCTTGTTTTTGCTTTTTGTATTATAAAAGTTGTTTACTGAATACATGTTTAGGATTGGTATGTCTTCTTTGAGAATTGACCGTTTTATCAATAAGTAATGTCCTCTTTACTCCTAGTAAATTTCTTTGTTCTGAAGTCCCCTTTGTATAGGCATCCACCATTCTCTTGATTAGCATTTACCCATCCTTTTCTTTTCAGTCCTACTGATATCACACAGTTGAAGTTTCTTGTAGACAGTATATGGTTTGGTCATATTTTTAATGCATTTTGCCAATCTCTGACTTTTCATTTTGATGTTTAGACCATTTACATTCAATGTAAATATTAATATGTTGGGTTACCACCTGCCATTTTAATCTGATTTTCCTTTAGGTACCTTGCAATTTAGTCTTCACTTCTGATTTGATTTTTTCTTTTCTTCTATTCTTGCCAGAAGTTCAATTAACTCTAATTTTATTTCATTTTATTTTTTGTCCATTTCTCTACTTAGCTTTTGTACTTCTAACTAAAGGTAGGCTTGTTTGTTTCATACACCAAAAAGCATGAATTCAAATATTCAATTCATATTTCAGTGTTATGCACAGTTTTAATTTTACAGTTGACTTATTGCAAGAGTTTTTGCAACCAAAATGCACTAATCCCTATTTTCAATGTTTGAGAGTCGTTTTGGGTAGATGTGGGCTACTTTATTCTATTCCTATTTATTTAATGAACGAACTGGTTCCTAATCTGAGAGTCTTTTTTTCTGTCACCTTTGCCCTCTTCTATGTACTTTTTACAGCTGGCACTGGGAGACGAAAGAAGAAGGGTTTGGGTTGTCTTGTTTCTTTTTCATTTCCACAGGATCCTTAATTTCTCCCTTTTCCTTCCTTCTTTACTTTCACTATCCTGTCTTAACAGGTACCACCGTTTGACTCTCCCCTAGAGGCAATGCTTTCCAACAGCTGCCAATTCCAGTCACTTTCAGCCTCCTTTATTGCATCCAGTGCTGTGAATGAACTACACAGCATCCCAGTTTTGTCTTTCTGGAATAATTTTGCTTGTGATTTGATTAAGTCCTCCACACCCCTGTACTGTTTTTCACAGCTTCTTAAGCCTCTATCAGCTTCCCCTGTGTCACTCTTTGCTATCACAGGCTTGTTGCTGTCTCTTAATGCTCTTGAAGGTATGAGTTGTCTGTTTTTATTTGTTCTCCTTGTTGGATTTATGACTTTTGGAGGAGTATGAGTGGGAAGATTCAAGATCAGAAAGGCATCATTAATTGTCCTCCAAACCCCTTCTCCCATAGGAACAGTAATCTTTTTTTTCCCCCATTGATATATCTTGCTCCTGGATCAAGGTCTAAAGCATAGTAAGAACTCAACAAGTTTACTGAATGTCATGCATCTGGGGTCCTCAGGGGTTGGGGTGGCTATTCTGAATAAGAAGAGCCTGCTGCCACCTAGTAGCTCTTCCTCAAGTTTGACCAATCTTCCTTTGACTCTGAGACTAGCACTACGCCCAAACCTCTGGCTGATAAAACTCAGTTTCCACACAGGGCCTCTGGGTATCTACTCCTCTAAAAACCCAGAGAGGACCAGCTGCTAATGCTAGCAATTTCAAGACCTTGACAAGGAATAGCTGGCTTTACCTCTTAAACTGCACTCCTTCCTCAATGCAAGCCTCCTTTCCTTTGATTGAAAAAAGGAATGAGACGCGGCCAGGCGTGGTGGCTCATGCATGTAATCCCAGCACTTTGGGAGGCCGAGCGGGGTGGATCACAAGGTCAAGAGATTGAGACCATCCTGATCAACATGGTGAAACCCCGCCTCTACTAAAAATACAAAATTAGCTAGGTGTGGTGGCACGTGCCTGTAATCCCAGCTACTTGGGAGGCTGAGGCAGGAGAATCACTTGAACCTGGGAGGTGGAGGTTGCAGTGAGCTGAGATCACACCACTGCAGTCCAGCCTGGCAACATAGTGAGACTCTATCTCAAAAAAAAAAAAAAAAAAAGGAATGAGACACATCACATCCCCATAATCAGATTCTTTGCAACACTGCTCATCTTAAAGAAATTTTAGATTAAGATTTATGTTTATAAATAATACCACAAAAGACGTGACTGGGCACTTAGTTTTCCGCCTTTTGGATTATCTCCTTATAATAATTGTGAAAAATAGAATTATGGGGTCAAATGATATAAATATATTTACAAAATATTATTTATTAAATTTAGGTGGTGAATTTAGTCTTACATCTTTCTAACTCTGTGTAAGAATAAAAGAACTGTGAAAGACAGGGGAAAATGTTAAAAAAAAATTGTACAATGCAAGTAGCCCATCCTATCAAGTAACAGAAACCTTTATTAAATCAATATATGAGCATTTATACACTCATAAGCATGAGTATTAATTTGAGAATAAATTCTTCATACCTGAGTAAAAACAAAAATAATCAAAATTATTTCTCTTTACAGCAATGACAATTCAAGTAGAGTATTCAAAACACAGAAGTTTCCTCTTTACCATTACATTAAAAACATTATGTCTTCATTTTGGTTTTTTGTTAAGAACCTATAAAATCTGAAGAGAAAAAAAACAAAAAAACATTCTGCCTATATTCTATCAATAACTTGTAGTAATTCATTTATTAATCAAATATTTATTCAGAATCTAGTTGCTGACACTGGTGGCCCTGAGCAGGTCCTTGATCCCTTGGCAAATAATAATACAGCAAGGCCATATCTTTAAAGAGAGATTTACAACACCAAGAGTGAACTTTCATGTAAATGATGAAATTTGGGTAATGATGTGTTATTCCAAGTTCATTAACTGCAACAAATGTATCACACTGGTTGGGGATTCTGATAGCTGGGGAGGCTATGCATATGTGAAGGATGGAAAATATGTGGAAACTCTCTGTACTTTCCAATGAACTTTGCTATGAACCTAAACCTGCTCTAAAATGTAAAGTCTTTTAAAAAATAAAAGAGATTTACCCATGTTTTAACATATTAAAATAAATTTCAATTATTTAATATTTCACTAAAATAAAATAATATTTTAGATACACAATTACCATGCAAATGAGTCTGCACTGGACAGTCATCAGAGAAGGCAAAAATAAAGTACTTAGGACTTAGTAGTACACTAACTGTCAGTATTACCTCCACGAAGGTGAACTCGTGTTATCAGAACTATTGTTACTGCTATGAATTTCCATTGTCTTCCCCAAGCAAACCTGTTTCATAACAATATATTAAATCCTTAATCCAAATATAAACTTTTATAAACATATATTGGTCAAAAGAAGGCAGTCTGATAACTGATCGGTGGGGAAGGCAATAAGAAGGGTGTTCCCTCCGGAACTGAATCTGGAGCAACAATGTATATTCCCAGGCAAGAAAAGTAGACACTAACTATGGTAGAGAGGACTTCTCTTCTGCCCTACACATATCTGCCAGGAGAAACTTAGTTTTGCACACTAAAAACCTTATTGTAAAAATATCTACAGGCTTATTTTATCTGAGCTTTATAAACCAGCACTCAAGTGAGAAAGTAATTACAATAACAGTAAAATCACAGCACATTAACTTTGAAGAAACAATCACTATACATTTACCACAGAGTTTAGTATTGTTAATTCTAATAATTTACAATCTTCTTTCTTTCAATTATTCAACTAGCCCAGTAGCCTTAAGCAATTAAAACTTTATTAGGTAGCTAGCTTTCAGATATTAATCTGGGGATCGCATAGGCTCATTTTAAAAGTGATACTTGCTTCTGCACCAGTCTTCTGAGGTGCACACATCCTCAGAGATCATTATTTCAAACCACAGCAGGGTATTTTTAAATGATGGCAAGGTATGGTACATAACACCTAGCCTGCACGGGAACTTTTCAGATCAAATGAATTAAGGGCCCCTGAATATCATGTTGTAAGAAAGGCACATGGCTTTGTGAAGCAAGTTTTGGAAACATATTATTGAACATTATTTGCAATCTTGTCAAATTCCATTTTTCAAGTTAATACCTCAGGTTGTCAAATTCAGAGATGATCCATCCTTATTGGCAACAACTCCATAAAGGTATTAAAGCTTCCACTTCAGTGAGAATCTCATACCCAGAGGACGCTTTGACACAGGATTTTCTTTAACCGTTTTCCCCCAATTACTGCCTTTCTTCTCTTACCACTTACACCTAAATTGTTTCTCACTTCTCAAAGTAATATCTTCACACCCATCATTTCCTACTGTGTTTGTCCCACAATTTCAGTAAAATCAAATTCCTGCCAACATTCATCTTAAGAAGAAAATGTTTTTTCTTGAAAGTGACTAATATTATAGAAAAGCATCAAGTCATTTTTCATATTATATTTTTGACCACTTAGATGAAACCTGAAAGCCTCCACATTACATCCTAATAAATCTCAATAATTATGACAGATTTTAGATTTCAAAACATATTTATATAAACTTTTGAAACACACTGTCAGTTAAATAAATACCAACATCTGAATTTGAAACAAGCCCTCTTGCTTTTAAGATTAACATAATGAATTCATACTTGGAAAAGCACAGAGCCACTAATTTCAAAGCTGATGGCAGAAAAATGGCATTAATGGACAGAAAACAGCCTACGATATGTACCAACATCACGGTAGGTGACAGACATGACTAACTTTGAGGCTGCCAAAGGCAGCAGCCACTGGTCCCAGTGAGGTGCCAGATACTACAGTTCCTGCTGTTAGCAAGGCAAGGGAGTCTCCTAGCTGCCAAGTCAGTCCAGAGATTAACACCTACAAGTTCTAGAGCCAGTGTGTCTCCCTCATCAAGACAAGCACTGTCAAAATCATACTCCATGTAATCCTAATAATATCATAAACACAAGACATGTTATTCTGTCATTGTTTATCTACAAAAATCCTGTAACATTAGCATTAGTAATTCAAGCATCCTTGGTTTCATCATAAATTTTAGGTAAACATATGGCAATGTTTTAAATTTATTTCACCAGTGAGATTTGAAAAGGTAAAATTGCACATGATGCAAAAGACTTGTAATTAGAATTAAGGGTGAAAATTATAACAATAGTTTAGGGGCTGTGGTGTCAAAACTATACAAAAACAGAAAAACATTTGCTCATAGAGGTAGCTGTGCTCTGACAAAGTCCCAGTAGGATAGAGGGATGCAAGGAGCCTTCCCTTAGGTTGGCAGAAGGATTCAGATTCATATTCGCAGCCATACTCAAACCTTGGCATCCCACTTTGAGAATAAACAACTTAATTTTTCACTCCAACTTGGAAGAAATGAATTTCATCCAAACTCTAGTCCCATCATGATTAAAATAAATTTTGAGATAATACAGAAAATCAGAGTAAGTTCATTTTATCAGATACCCACTGTAGTGGTGTGTTTTTTTTTTCCAAAACCATTGTTAATAAAGGGGAAAAAAACCTTTAATATTTGAGATAATTTTCTAGATCATTATTTGATGTCCTACTAGGAAAAAAGAGATTACAAAGACACACAGCCCATCCGCCATCACTTCGCCTTTAGTCTCTGGGAGAAAAAAGACATTCACAGGCTCCTTTCATCTTATGTGTTCTTTCTCAGCAGAGTGGAGTAGAGGGATTGCTGCCTGACTTTCCCAGAATGACTACTCATGAAACCTAAGGACCCAACTATATCTCAAGCTACAACCACAACAAACATCAACTTTTTTTTCAAGCCCACAGCTTGACAGCTTTAAGGCTGTTGAAATTTACTTTTACTACAAATAGTAAAACTACTTTTAACTACTAAGTTCCATCTCCCTTACTTGCCAGTGGAGTCTGAATATTTTCATAGCTAAAATATTCTGAGGGGAAATATAAAGAGGGGACTTAAAAATTGCATGCACAAAAGAGACAGGATTGCTTGTTTAACTGTCTGTAATGAGGAGACAGTCTAGCAGAGAAAGAACATGTGCGTACGCTGAGCACTGATACGCAGCTCCGGGTTAGTGCATTCATGGTTCTATAATGCATGCTGCCTGCTTGGCCTAAACACTGGAAGAGCAATGATAAACACTGTGACTGTGATCAATCTGGACCTTCTCCTTAGTGATATCTAATACAATAAACACTCCACACACAGAACCATAAACTAATGAATGAAAAAATAGAGGAATAGGGCTAAAAAATAGAATTAAATGTTGGACCCCATATTTGCTTTTTATTCTTTATACACACATATGTACAAAGAGTCAACTGTGGGTTATGGAGGAAAGAGGTCATAGCCAACTCTAAACGTAAGGTTAAAATAAATGTGGTGTCATGTAATCCTTAATTTAGCTAAAATCACATTCAGGATTTAGAGATGTTTTTTGTTCACCAGATGTCATCCAAAATTGGAAAGGTAATACAACAGGTTAGGAATACTTTTAAAATATCATGTAAGTTGTTTTATATCTACGAAAAGGTGTACTGTTTTCACTTGCTTCTTAAGAGTTTTTCAGTTTGGAGATGGGCAAAAATTCAATCCCACTACACACTTCTCTTGCTCTGCTTCTCTCTAATTTCCCTAACATCATAGAACTGAAATGTGATATTGGAAATTACAGCCTAAACCATTTCCCCCTTCCTTAGCATCGATACCTATTTATCTGTCACCTGACTACTGGCAAAGAGCGGTGAGATACAGGCTACTTCCACATTGTGGACTCACATGCCCACATCAACTGGTTACTAAATCACTGTAAAGAACACACTCCTCTAATACTACAGCTTGACCACATGAAACTGCCAATATTTGACATTTTTTACCTACTAACACAGCAATTGTACGTGGTTCAACCTAGTAGAATTTACCTGGTTCAAAGCATTTAAATTTTTTCACAAATGTATTGTTATTTTTACCAACATTAATATTCAAACCAGTTAATCTGCTACCAAATCACCACCAATTGACTGCATTTTTAAAAAGGAATAATCTATTCATCAAATTATAGTTATAGCTGAGAAGAGATATAGAAATAATTTAATATCCTACATATATCTTTCTGCATCATTTGAATTGTTTATGATAAAGATATATTGCTTTTATACTAAAAAGGAGATATCTGGAAAAGTTTTTATTACAAGTGAATTTGCTAAAGAACTGAAACAACACTATTAAATAAAAAGCATACAGGTGTTTATACAATATGGAACTATAATACAATAATGAATCATTATAACTGCAGTAATATTCTTCACTTCTAATCCCTCCTCACTTGGATACTGGTGGAAATATGTATATTAAGGATCTCTTTTTCTATCCTGGTACACTGTAGACCCTGTATCAGCCTGTAATTTGCTCTCATATCACATATTAATCTAACATGTTAAATCTGTTTCTTTTCTAAATAGTTACTTTCCTGCATTAAAATTTACTCAGTGCAAAACATTTTCAATCTTGCTGTCTCCATTCACTGCTAGTTCAACCTGTAAATGACCCTCTTCTGCTGTTCCATGCTCTAGTTAATCTTGGTCCTATTTGTGATGGGAAAGATCCAAACAAATGCAGGTACTACATAAATGCTAGACATGTGGCTCTTCTTAAATGCAAACATCTTGCTAGTAACTTCTGGGGAAAGGAAATGTACTTAGCAACAAGGATGGGAATGGTGTTGATTATAATCCAGGTACTGTCTTCAGGAGGAAAAGAGACAATTTAGGGACTGAGGGTTTCTGCAAGACCTGATAACAGGTTTTTTATTTTTTAATCTTGGTCTGGCCATAAAAACTAGGTTTAAAAGCCGTTAGGCAGTTTGCTTCATTTTAACTATTTTATACTTTATTACACATGGGTTACATGTACAGTTAACAAGAGCACTACAAAGTATGTGATTGAAAAAAAAAAAAAGATGAGTGGTTTCGCACCAAGCCCCTTATGTTTTCTGGTTAAGAAGAATAACCATTCATATCATATTAGCTATTACTATTTGACTAGATTTGTATTTACGTATATTTTATTTATGTATTTATTTAGAGGCAGGGTCTTGCTCTATTGCCCAGGCTGGAGTGCAAGGTGTAATCACAGCTCATTGCAGCCTCAACCTCCCAGGCTCAAGTGATCCTCCTGAGCAGCTGGGACCACAGGCACCTGCCGCCACCCCTGGCTAATGTTTTGTTGTTGTTGTTGTTGTTTGTTTGTTTCTAGTTATTTGTAGAGATGAGGTTTTGCTATGTTGTTCAGGCTGGTCTCGAATTCCCGCACTCAAGTGATTCTTCCACCTTGGCCTCCCAAAGTGCTGGGATTACAGGCATGATACACTGTGCCTGACCTTGCTGTCTGAATAGATTTAAATCAACCTCTCTTTAAATGAATGTATGTGAATAGCTATTGTTGTATGCTTTTACACATAAGATTTACACATCTGTATCTTCTACAGATAAGTTTAAAGTCAGAAAACATCTCCTTTGCCATGGCTACAAGTCCCAGCACCCAAAGGCACATAAGATACTCAACTTTGTAAGACTGTGGTCAAGAGGTAAAGCACTGTCAGACTCCTCCACAAAACAAGGTAGTTCTGCAGCATATTCTTAAGCAAATTAGAACCCACCTCCCTTTATGGAGAAACAGACCATTCACCATTCGCAACAGCCGCAGCTCCAGGCTCATCATGCAGTGCTTCTCAAAGTATGGCCCTCCAACCAACTACATCAAAGTCAACTGGTGTGCCTGATACCAATGCAGATTCATGGAGTCCTATCCCAAAGCTACCAAATATAAGTTTATAAGGATGGAACCCACGAATCACCCAATACATATTTATTTAACATCTACTACATGCCAACCACAAGGCACTGGAGATAAAACAGAGGTAACACAGACAAAAAACTCTTGTTCTCATGAAGCTTATATTCCATATTTCAACCAAACTGTCCATTTAACATTTACACATCCTAAAGTTTAAAAATCACTGTGCTATGGCTCTCACAGAGGGAGAGGGGTAGCATGTTTATGGTGTGTGTGAGTGTGTGTGTGTGTTTGTGTGTTTACGTATTTAGTTACACTTCAACCTACTTGCTGCTCTACAAGCATATCAACAGAAACAGCTAAGTCAGTCCCTCAGTTCATGTATCTAGTGTCTGTCTTTGTCTTTTCTTCCTTGGGTTTCCCCTCTCTCACACACAAAGCTACTGAGGTAGATTCTACTGAAAGTGATAGTCTTGAGCTAGAAGGCAAAGGAAATTCTTCATTCTGAAAATTTGATGGTATTTTGATGTGTGCAGTTTTTTCCCGTTCAGTTGAAAAGCCCAAAAAATGTCAGCCAACAAAGTTTTTCATTATTAATGAACTGTTGATAAGGTCGTAATTATATGGCCTTTCCAATCCCACTACAATTCTAAAATCTGTGAAAGAGTAAGATTTGCTGTAAATTACCTTAGAACCAGTGCTTTGATAAACATATACAATCAGCAGATCTGATCATAATGAAAACAGATTATGAGCACAGAAGGAAGAGAAAGAAAAGACCATAAAAAATGAATACAGATTTTGGTTGGAGCTGAATTAAAATTTCAAACATACCACTACTTCATTTGACTGAAACAAAGTCAAAGCTGAAAAAACTACAAAGTACAGCACAGTTCATTGGAAGGCCCACAGTCCCAGAGCCTGTGTTACCCAAAGTGTCAGTTCACCTTCAGGCAGTCATCCTCCTAGGCCTGGACAAGCCTTAAAATCCCTCAGGCTGACTCTACTCAGCAGTGGCCTTGTGAGCACCTAAGTTCACCTCAGCCCTGAGCGAGCTCTGCCACTTACATGAATGTCACTAATACACTGAGTCCCAATTTGCTTCTCTATCACTTGTACCTGTCCTCCTTGTCAGTATCCGGTAATGCTCGGCTGCTAATAACCGTGCTTGGCCAATGCTAGCATCACTCAAATGTTCGGGGTGTTTATGAGATATTTAATCTAAGAAAAGGCACTAAGGCCTTCCAACCATATGGTGGCAAAGACTGGGGAGTCCCAGCCTCTGAGTGGGCTCATTTCTTTCATTTTTAACTGTTTAACTTTTCTGCTTCACATTATTCCAGCTAATGCAGCATTGAAAGAGGCTATTCTACATCTGGAAATACATAAAAGCAAGACAGGAATACATACCTATAAAGGGTAGAGTGACTTATCGCAAGTGTTCAGCATTTAGAAGTCTGTGATAATAAAATGGTTTATGCAAAGTTACATATAGCAAAATGTTATTTAATAAGCTTGAGATTATTCTCCTTCCAACTTTTTCTGAAAATAAAGACATCCTAAATCTCCTTGATACTAGGGAAACTACTTCAATACAAAAAATAATAACATTAAAAGATTTGCCAGACACAGCAGCTCACCCCTGTAATCCCAGCATTTTGAAAGGTGGAGGTGGGAGGACAGCTTGAGCTTAGGAGTTCAGGGCCAGCCTCGGAAACATAGCAAGACTCCATATCTATAACAAATAAAAATTAGCTGGGCATGATGGCACATGCCTGTAGTCCCAGCTACTCGGGAGGCTAAAGCAAGAGAATCACCTGAACCCAGGAGTTTGAGGCTGCAGTGAGCTGTGATTACGCCACAACACTCCAGCCTGGGTGACAGAGTGAGAGTTGAGCCCAAGAATTTGAGGTTACACTATGACTATGATCACACCACTGCACTTCGGCCTAGGTAGAAGAGGGAAACTCTGTCTCTAAAAATAATAATAATAAATAAATTAGCAAGGTAACTTCAAATTGTCATAATAATTAAAAAAAAAACAGGTATTCAAGAAAATGACAAAGGGGAAGAAAAACAGGTTTCTCTATTATGGCCTTAAATTCTCCAGAAATCTTGCATCTCTGTACGCACTGTCAAACAGAGGAATTGGAGAAAGAGGTAACCTTATCATACATTCCTCTAGGTAAGAAACTATCTGACTCCTGGACAGTTTGGGTTACAAACAGTTGAGGGGACAGTCTCTGCAATGTACACTTGTGACTGGTATTGACAATAGCTCCTGCTCATACAACCTGCCTTTCCATAAGAGACAGGCAGCTCCTGAGAGCTATGGCAAACATCCACCCATTATTAGCATTACCATCATCTTCTCAAATGCACTCAACCTTCTACTGACCCATGCTTCCCTTTCTAATAAGTTTTCATCTTGTTTCATGTACATTACCCACACACACATTCATACACACACATATATATAAAATCTTAGTGCACTGAATATATTTGTAATTTGACTGATACACAGGGTGATTGATTCACCATGCACAACTGAAATAACCCTCACAGAATTGTAAAACTCAGGGTCACCTTCAAACACACCAATCCAACCCTTTATTTGACCATTGAGGACAATAAAATATAAAAGAATTTGGTCATAGGTCTCAAATTCTGGCCTCCTGATTCCTGACACAGTACAATTCCATTTTCATAATAAAATAAATATTTTCTGCTTTTCCTTTTGTCTTAGTTTTCTTGCATCCATTCCTAGTTTTTTTGCTGTGGTCATGGTTTCCCTTTATCTTCATATCCTTCCAGGTGTTGGAAGGCAGAAAAACCTGAAGCTAAGAAGACTAAAAGGACATCAGATATATCCTGATTGTTGTGAAAACTGTTCACTTGCAGCATCACCACCTGGACTAAAGAGGTTTAAGAAGACAGTAATAAGTAAAGGGGGAGCTAAAGAGGAAACTGCTGCTCAAATCAGCTTTTGAAAAATGCCTTTATCTGATCTAGTCACTTCTCTTCTTAAAACCTCTCAACAGCTGCTTAACAGGACTTAGAAGAGCCCGCACAACAGGCTCCTGATGGAGAGGTCTCCATGCAGCTCCCGACTCCCTATCACACTTGGAACTCCAGCCATATGGTGCTTTTCTCAGATCTTCAATCCCCCATGGTCTTTCAAAATTAGGAGACATTGTCCTTTCTGTTCCCTCTTCCACAGCTTCTGGGCCTCACCAATTCCCACCATCTCTTCAGATCTTAACTTAGTTATCATTTTCTTTGGAAGTGTTCCCTGACCCCCAAGGTTAAGTGAGGTGCCTTTTCTAACCTTCTCTCAGCAGTGTTGTCCTGTCACAGTATTATAATAACCTGATGACCTATTCCCACCTGTCTATATCCCCCACTCACTCATTATTTACACTTACTCCTGCTGTGCCCATAGCACTCAATTCAGTGCTGAGTTTAGAGAAAATGCCTATTAAGTGCTGATTGAATAACGCATGCATGAACAAGAAAAATAAAATCATTACAGGATCCTCCATAAATCACTGCAAGGAGCACAGTATCTAGCATTGCACTCTGCTGTAGATTGGTTATCTCACTACAATGCATTCAGTTCACCCTGAATACACTGATAAAAAATAAATCCATTCTCATTTTCTTATTAACTGACAAACAAAGGGAGATTATAGATGTCACAGAATTTTAAAAAGAAGCAAAGAAATATCCTATAGGATGTCATTAGGAGTTTTCCTTTCATAAGTGGGTGAAATGTTATATATTAATGCTATAACTAAAAAGGCATTATTTTATTTCCACACACATTTCAGATTATGGAAAGATGGTAAAAGCTTTGCTTTGAAAGTATCATTTATTTCTAAAAGCACATGTCGGAAACTGAAATTGTATCCCAACATTTTATTCAGCATGAGATAAGTTTGTTAACAATAAGACAGTATCAATAAGAAAAGGAAGACGATGTTCTAACCATACATGGATTTACAGTAGAACCAGATCCAACCCGCAGACTTGGTTTAAGTACCCTGTGCAGTATTTTTTAATCTTTGTCAGGTATTTAAAGATCAGAAATTTTCACATAAATAAACACTCTGGCTTTTCTATAAAAATCAGAACCTCTGCCATCCTGTGCTTCACGATGTGGTAAAAGTTATGTGGCTGGAGCTACACAACTGGCCCCTTCAACAAGCATCACTGCTATGGCTCCCCACCCTCTCCAATCCCCAAGAGCGCAGAGCTCTTATACCCTATTATTGCTGGACCTCTAAGTTTGTGGTCCCTAAATTAATGTTTGAATGTCATGTGTAAAAACCTAACACCACTTTGTCCAAGATAAGATAAAGTAACAATTATAAGTGTATTAGTCCATTTTGTGTTGCTATAAAGAAATACTGAGGCTGGGTAATTCAAAAGAAAAGAGGTTTATGTGGTTCACAATTCTACAGGCTATATAAGCATGGCACTCACATCTGCTCGGCTTCTTGTGAGGCCTCAGGAAGATTTCTGTCATGGCAGGAGGTGAAGAGCGAGCAGCATATCACATGATGAGAGAGGAAGCAAGGGCTCGGGAAGCAAGAGGATTTGGGGAGGTATCAGGCTCCTTTTTAAACAACCAGATGTGAAGTGAACTCACTGCCCCGTAAGAGCACCAAGCCATTCATGAGGGATCCGCCCCCACGACCCAAACACCTCCCAACAGGCCCCACCTCCAACACTGGGAATCACATTTCAACATGAGATTTGGCAAGAACAAACATCTAAACTCAATCAATGAGGAAACTGGAAGTAGACAATTTAAAGTGGGTTTTATGTGTCCCACAAATCAATAAACAGAGTAAGAAAAGGGACAAGAAGGAGAACACATAAGAAGGTATTTGTGGATGGTCGTAATTTCAGCCAACGAATAGGCAAAAATAAAATTATATCAATTTTCAATTATTTATTTCAAAGCCCCAATGAAACCCACTAGATGGAATAGGAACCTCTTAGTGTTATTAGCATGGGACATTTGTTTCTTTCATATCACTTTGAATACAGATTCATTGATTGGCAGATTTAATCAGACACTGAAAGACATTTAGCCCATTTGATGCACTTTTTCAGATAAGACTAATGTGGCTCAGAATGTTGAAAATCATCCAATTTGGGATGTGTCCTCCCCTCACTAGCCCTCTGCTGCTCCAATTCAATCTCAGAGGCTTAGAAAAAAAGTCAAGTAGGTATTAAACTTTTGATATTTACCCCCCAGGAAAATGAGGAATAAAGAAATAAAATGCACTTATTCAAGGTAGCAACAGAGAGCCAACAGCCAAGCTGGGCCAAGAGTCAGGTCTAGTTCCCAGGCCATACTGCCAGGCTTCTACCTGAAACACTGCAGAGTTTAAAGTCTGAGAAAACTGGCTGGGCACTGTGGCTCAGGCCAGGCAAAGTAGCTCACACCTGTAATCCCAGCACTTTGGGAGGCCAAGGCGGGCAAATCACTTGAGGTAAGCCTGGCCAACATGGTGAAACCTCACCTCTACTAAAAAACTTAGCCAGGCATGATGATGCAAGCCTGCAGTCCCAGCTATTTGGGAGGCTGAGGTGGGAGGATCACTTCAACCCAGGAGGCAGAGGTTGCAGTGAGCCAAGATCATGTCACCGCACTTCAGCCTGGGCGACAGGTTAAGACTCTCTGTCAAAAGAAAAAAAAAGAAAACATGCTTATGCCTTGACAGACCCCACCCCCAACATACACACAAAACAAACAGAATGGGAGGAAGGCAGAGATAAACGTTAATTAATGCATGAAACTCAGAATAAAATTAATCCAATGATAACACTGACAAGGATGTGAACAAATAAATACACTTGGACACTCTTTGAGGTCAGAGTTATTGTGGTGGGAAGGAAGACTAGTAAACACCTAAAAAAATTACATTTTTCGTAGCCCTTGAACCTGCATTTCTCCTGGGAATTTATCTTTTAAGAAACAGGGGCAGAAATAAGCAAAGACACATTAATAAGAATGGTCATTTCAATGTTCTTCATAAACAGTAAAATATTAGAAATAACCTAAACTGTCATTTATTGTGTTAAATAAAATTTACTCTGGTTAAATAAAATATGGTACATTTATATAACATAAAAATCATGTAGATATTTAAAAATATAGTTCTCTAACTACCAATATTGTAACATGTCTATGGGGAAAAACATCAAGTTGAGAACTGTATGCATTTAAAAAGAAAGTAGAGGTGATGGATGTACTCAAGCTATGAAAAGAAATTACCCATGTGGAAGAAAACAGAGCTCAGGGGATAAAGTATGGGTAGATTGGTGGTTTACTGTTTATTTAATATTAATTATTTAGTTTAATTTTTTATCTGGATAATCTATTCTTTTATATTATAAATGTAGCTAATAAAAATTAATTAAAATATTTTTTAATTCCTTTGCTTTCTACTCTCTTCTAAGGCAGGTACTTATTTAACAAAGTATTTATTGATTTATTCAGCTAATATGTATTGACCACCTATTTCTCTTTGTGATTATCTAACCTCGGAAGATATGGAAAGATATAGCAAATGCCAAAAAACTTTTAACATTTGACTCCTTCTGGAATATAAGCAAAATTCATACTATGCGTAGGTTAGCTCTGGAGTAGACAAGCATCCAAGAACACCTCCAGATTGCTTGGCATAACCTGCCTAGAGAAATGTTTTGATATATACAATTACAAACCCTCCTTCCCTAAGTAAGATAAAGCAGTTGAACCAAAATAAATAAGTATTCTTGCCACCCAAAAACTCTTCTGCTGGGATCTTAAAAGGAAAGAGAATAATGAGCAATCAGGCCCTGCTTGCCTCTACTCCACACAGGAGAGCTTTGGGGAAATGGACTGGACCAACCAGAAAGCAAACTGTTCCTGATAAGGGTGAAGGGAGGAAGGAGAGTGGGGTGATGTGGAGGGCAGGAGCCTATACAGAGGCCAAGCCCCAACATTAGGATGCTGGGGGCCACTTTGGTTATTCAGGTGATTTTCATCCTTTCCAAGTGAATTACCTCATAAAACCGAGGGAAGTGATGGGCCCACAACCAGGTGGTGACTGATGACACCTACGGTTGGCCACACCTACCCATTTCCCTGATCCTGGTCCTAACCTACTCTGGCATGGGGCACTGGGTGACTGACAGGTTTTTACATTTTTCCTTTTGTTCTTACTACCTCAATAAATAAATAGATATGTTTTTCCCATTTTAGAATCTGGGGTACTGCTTAGTGTGATGGAAATGTGCAGATCAGCTACTTCTAACAAAATGAGTCTGTCTCCATTCAAACATTTCCTGAAGCTAGCCAAGAACATGTTCAGCAACAGCACAGACTGGCAGTTCAAAGAAGGATCTTAAAGCAAAACTACTCCTCTTAAGTGGGTGAGAAGAGCCATAAATAACTTTATTACAGCAGATCTTTGTAAGTGCATGAGAGTGTAACAACTGAACAACTGAAATATTAGAGCAATGGAGAAATAGGAGAGAGAACTCCCAATGGAGCCAAGTGTGGAACCTTATAGTACAGGTCCCACATGAGCTGCTCTGGAGGAACCTATGGATATGTTATAATGAGATGCAGCATTCTAAGCTCAAGGAACTTGAGTTTGGGGGAAGAAGAAGAGTCACAGATGGGAAAATATGTAGTTTATTTTGGTTGAAAACCAAAATGTTTGAAGTAAAGTAATGGGGACAAAGTTGGAGACAAAGGTTTGGGTCCTCATTCTTCAGGTTTTTATGGAGTTTAATTATTATTTTATATAAAAAAAGACAGGAGAGTTAAATAAAAGGTGGGCCTCTGTAAGGTTCATCCAGCAGGAATACACAGAATAGATTACTGTTGGAAAAGATGGTGTCCTTTCACATAAAACTAACTGAATGCACTATTCTAGGAGAGCTTAAGAGAACAGCTATTAATGGCTAGAAACTGCCACCCTAACTTAGTGACATAATAGTGTCACCAAGGAGACAAAAAAATTCTCATTTTATTTTTTCAGAAAACCTCATACAGATATTAGATTACCTGAAATAAAAATGTACATGCCTATTAAAAGGTTAGCATTGAGTAGTGCCTATTACCTGTGATACGAATAATACAATGTACTACAAGTCTTATGAGAAGGTTTGCTAGGAATGTATTCAAACGTAAGTGACACCAGAAAAGTGAGCTGGCAAAAACAATTTCTACCTGCCTATATGCCATACATGTAAACTTGGATATTTTCTTTCTTTGTAGTTTTAAACTACCACTTCATCTTAAAAAAAAAAAAAGAAAACCAAAACAAGAGTAATTCAAATAAGTTCAAATAAGGGACTTAATCAATTTTCTGATTTAAATTTCCCCCAGAATATTTCTATATAATAGTTTTAGAAGATGAAAAGTAAAATTAAACTTTTAAAACAAGTGGAATAAAAACAATGATGTCCAAAAATGTTTAACCAGATTTACATAGTGTAATATCTATCATTAAATGCCTTCAAAAATATAGAAAGCATAGTTTTAAGACTCAGGAATATATGCAATGCAATACTCGCTTATGTAATGAGTTAAGAGAACTCATTCATTCATTCAATAAATGTTTACTGAGTGACTACTCTGTGCAAGGCACTGTGCTAGGTACTGGAGACACAACACTGAAACAAAAGAAAAAAAATAAGTAAAAATCCTGCCCACCTGATGTTTATCTGGTGGAGAGAGACAATCACAAAAAAGGAACGTGTAAAATAAGTATTTTGTTAGAGTGTGGCAAGTGCTAAGGAGAAAAAGTTTCTCTCTCTCTCGCTAGATATTTTGCCACAAGCTGCCATCTTGTGACTAACCTAAGGGTCACTATTTTAGAATGAAGCCAGAGCTAAGGAGAGAGCTCCACAGAGATGGGGAAGGGTTATCTTCACCATCTGAAGCCTCACCTTTCCTCCGGACTTACTGTGTGAGACAATACATTCTTGTTTGTATATTTGTTTAAACCATCTGAGTAAAGGCTATCTGTGATTTGCAGCCAAAAACTTTCTAATATGAGAAGTTTAAGAAAGAACTTTCCAATACGATTTAAAAACTGAGATTTTCTTATCCTTCATTTGTTGACTGCAGAGAGGGTTAAGATCACATGAACAACAGATCTGGAGCTTGGAAATGAAACCTGATCATTCCTACCAGCTTTTTGCAAATATATGCAAATACCACATGAACACAGCCAGAAAACAGATAATTTTCTATCTAGAAATTCTGAGACAATAATCTAGCTTCATATTTCATTTCAGAGTAGAAGAGACCAACAGCCCAGCACAGGAATTTAGAAGTCCTACCTCATGACTCTAAGGCCAGTGCTCTTTCTACCATCTGTTCCAGACGAACACAGTATTAGTTGAAAGGGAGCTTATATATCATTAGGCCAAACCCTACATTTTGTAGACTAAAAAGTGTATTTCTCCTTACCCCACCCCCAATCAAAGCCACCTGAGATGATGGGAAGTTAAATTCCTTGACGAAGGTCAGGGTTTATCAAAAGCAGATTAGAATTTACCTCTCCTAATTCCCAATCCTAACTGTACTTCCACAGGTCACCTCCCTCCAGGCTCCAGTATTATGTGCCTATGCAACTAGCTATTAAAGTGCTTTTCTAATTTTTCAAAATCTTTCTGGCTAAACTTGCAAGGCATGTTATTGCTCTGTTTCTCTGTTATATGCCTGTTACCAAGGACACTCCAAGGAGTAATGATAATTTATTTTTTTAATCCATTTCATTTTAAATTACAAAACCAAAGTCATAACTTGGCAGCTCTATGAAAATAGGGTGAAAATGCTTACCTTTTCCCTAGTAAAAATTTAAAGATGCTATATAAATGGAAGTTTGACAATGGGATATATATCAGTAAAAATTACATTACATTATATAGATCATAGTCAAAAACTCCATTATCTGAGGCAGGAATAGCATAAAAAGCATCTGAATTTCTTCCAGGCTATTGACCTTCCCTACAGCATGCCTTTACAAGCATTTTCCTCCCTCTAATCATCAGGTGGACTTTCACTTCCAGTTCAGAAAATTCCCAAGACACTGCTCCTGGCTCTGCTATGCACAGATTATGTGTCTTCATTTCTAGAGAACCAGGTCTCTGCCCCAGGGAACTTTGCCATGGGTCTCAAGCCAAAGAATTCCCTGCCACAGCCCCAGCACTAAGGAGACTAGATCAAGTGCTTTCCAGGATGCTTTTTATTGAGGAATATGATTAGATGTATTGTTTTTCCTAACAAGCATTAATCCTTAAAATCTAGAGCTTTACTAATATATCTCACATATACAAGGTTAACCTACTGAGATGGACACAGCTAATTCCCAGTGCTTAAGATTATCATCAATTAATTTTAATGAATAAAATAATCAAGTCATTAATTTTCTAATAAAGCTGCAAAATTTTTTAAAAATCAAGATAAATCACTACTTTTAAATATGCATTTCTTGTGTGACAAGTATATATGAGTTACATTAAACTATAATTGTGAATTTTTTTAAGGAAAAAGGGACTGAGACTAATGAACTAGTGAACCAAAATATTAAAGCTAGAAGAGAACTAGCAGTATTGGGTGCAAAATTTTGGTTGTATCAACTTCATATGACCTCAAGCCAAACATTAGCTCCCACTCTTAGTGAAGAAAATGTAAATTTAAGGAATTATCAAAATTTATCTCATGTACCTACATCAAGCAAGGTAAATAATTAACAGAAGAACATTTCTTATAAGCACAATAGTGATGCTTTGGTCTCAGTAAAATCAAGCAGGAAAAATATTGTCACTGTGCAAACCTCTCCAATAAAAGCAACATTAGCAATAGGTTGTTTGGCATTCCTATGAAAGATCCACACAACAACTTAGGAAATGTTTTATCTCTTCACTTGTAAATTCAGGCCCTCATTCAACTCAGACACTAACAGAAGGATTAATAAATTTTACAAATTAGGGTTCCAGGTACCAACTTTTGCAATGGTGCAAAAACTATGACACAGCTTAGTTTGCTATGTACTAGGCAAATTTAGTACCTTATTTTATATATTTTCTTATAAGATGCTATTTTTAATCCTATGAAGCCATCATTTGACATTTTGCAACAAACTGCCATTCGCCATTCATGTGTATGTGTATGCACGCACAGACGCACATAGATGTGTGGGTTTTACTTCCAGATTGTGCCTGACACACTCTGGTTCTTCTGAGAGAAAGACGTCTTTTTGTTTCAAAAGTCTTTCTAGCAGCTTCTGCTTTCTCCAATCTGTGCCACTTGTTCCTAACACCCTTCCTTTCTGCCTTTATTTTCCTAGGCTGCAGTACCAGATCACTTTCTGGTGCACATTCTCACTGCCTTCTTTCACACCAATCACTAATAAGAGAATATTTCCCACTTTAAGCTGTCTTATTTCAAACTCTTCAAAGTTTTCACATGAGTCTGACACAGCACTTTGTACTTGTGGGGATCGTTTGACAGGAACAAAGAAAGTGAAATTAGATGCCTAATGTTACTGCCAAAATGTCAAATGATGGCTTCATAGGATCAAAATAGCATCTTGTAAGAAAATATATAAAATAAGGTATTAAATTTGCCTAGTACATAACAAACTAACCTGTGTCATCGTTTTGAGTATAATAAATCCAAAGATACAATTAGCTATTAAAGTACTTTTCTCATTTTTCAAAATATTTCTAACTAAACTTGCAGGGGCTGTTATTGCTCTGTTGCTTTGTTATATGCTTGTTGCTAAGGGCACTCCAAGGTGTTATGATTATTTTTTAAAAAAATACATAGGATTTGAATTCTAGGCTTTGTCTCTGCTAGCTTGTGATCTTGCTCAGCTGCTTCCTCATCTTCAGTGTAAGGATGGTACCTGTATTAAAGGCTGCATGAGGACATGCGAAACACCTACCGCAGTGCCCAACACAGAGTGGGCACTCCATGAAAATTAGTTTCCTCTTTTCCATAAGCAAGTGTCTGGAACTACTAAGAATATAAGAAGTACCCTCAAGTAACCACAGTCACTAGAATCTTCCCAGCTCCTTTTGTTCCACTGGGAAAGCTGACACCTGTGTGTGTGTGTGTGTGTGTGTGTGTGTGTGTACATATATATATATGATGAAAATATCATTATTATCAGAAACTTCATAAGGAAGTGCTGCTGTAGGTAAGTGCTGCTTCGTAAGCAACTGCTCTGTTATGGGCAACTAACAAAAAAGGAGGCAATTAAGCAACATGTTTAGTTACCACCCCAAATTTAACAATATTGTATATTACTTTTATTTTTAAATAATAGACTTTATTTTTAGAGCAGTTTTATGTTTACAAAAAAAAAGTAAGCAGAAAGTTCAGAGGGTTCCCATATAGTCCCTCCTCTCCCACTTCCCAGGTTCCCCTAGTATTAACATAGGAGGCTATATTTTTTACAGCTGATGAGCTAAAATTGATCACTTTTTTATTCACTGAGGTCCACAGTTCATGTTCACTGTTTGTTTTCTATATTGTATGGGTTTGGACAAATGAATTATTTCCACCATTACAATAAGACATAGAATAGTTGCAATGTTCTAAAAGTTCCCTGTAACTTTTATTTTTCAAATAGGAAAACTTTTTTTTACCCTGATTATGAAAGTAAAACTTATTTGCCTCAAAAAATGTTTAACAATTTCTAAAGGTATAAAGCAAAAAAACACAAAAATCCATCAAATTCTAGCTATAGAAAACCAGTTTGATACCTTCCCTCCCATTTCTTTTTCTATTCATATGCCACCATATATGTACCTGTATGTGCATATGAGTGTGTACTCTCTTGTATTTTTCCTTCATTCACTTGCACTTTAAACAGACACAATGTCAATGAAAAAGTTAAAGAAAATCCCTCAGAATTTCTACTAATGCAATATTGGCTAAACCTCTCAATGGAGAACAGCTGTAGCCCTTTGGTATAAGAGAAACTATGGTAAGCAGTCTGTATCACCTTCTATTGTAAAGGTAAAACATACTGATTGTGGAATGGGAATGCATCAAAGTGGAAGTGAATAAAACAGGAAAAAGGATAAAGAGAAAGGTATCTTGGACTATTACTCAGAATTCCTACATCTCTTCCAGAACTACCATATTGTCCTATCTTGGACTGAGGCCACAAGCTTCCCTTATGTATCCAATTCTCCAACCACCAGTCCTACCCTAGCAAAGGAAGGGATGGGAAAGATCACAGTTAAAAGACAAAGAATTATTTTAACTCTTGTTCTCCCTGCTTACCTAAATCTTAATACATCAAATGGGAACTTATAGTTAATTAGAGAAGAATGTCCTGTTCTGGTTATTCTTTTGGATATATTTTTGGCAAATCACTATGGCTTTAAAGAAAACTAAAAGCCTTCTTATATAGTTCTTTTTAAGGATCATGAACTTTCCAAACTTTATGGATCAAATAACAAGTAAGACTTGAGCTCCACTCAGTCCTTGGTTCTGGAAAATCACTCTGCCAATCTCTCCAACACAGAAAACTGCACACACCGCAGTCTTTTTCACTCCTTTAAAATTAAACAGGGCTTTGAAACAAAGATAGGCAGTTGCCAGGCTAGAAAAGACAGGAGTAGAGAACATCTTAGCTTGAAAGTCCGACAGCTTCTGGTGACAGTGACAAGGTAATAGGACAGTCCTCTTAGAAGGAAAATAGATGTAGCCTGTCATCTGAAGCAAGTAATTTCCAGTCTCTTATCCCATCATCCCAAAGTTTAAATGATAGTCAGCTTAACTCACATCCTTCATTCTTTTTACATCCTTCTAGATGTCTACACAGTAGGCATGCAGTATATGTTGGCTGCATTGAAGTAAACATCCCAGCAAGCAAACCCGTCTGTCAGTACAGGATGGAGGCATGAGGCAACAACATAATACAAGAAACAATTTCAAAAAGGAAAAAAAACTTCACTATGCACACAAGCACTTGGAACACATTCCACTTTGATTCTGAATGAAAAAAATGCATAAAACCCTACTATCTGTAATAAATGATATTTCATTAAAACCAATAGTTTATACTAGAGAAAGGGAAACTAGGCATAGCATCCTATGATACCATTTGGAAGAAGTGTGAAAAATAACCAGAAAATAAAATTATTTGTTTCTTACATGTAATATGTTGTTTTCACAAGACTCCTGAGGCACAAATTTGCCATTTGTTTTTAAATCTTGAGAGACACATTGCAGCAAGTAGAGATCATTAAAGCCCTGTATGCTAAGGAAAAGAACAGATGGGGTGGGAGGAAGTGAGCAAATGGGCTTCCCTGTATACAACCTTCGTCACTAGAAAGCTATCTTGCTGTGGATTTCACCACACTGAAACAGCAAAACTGTTCATTATGGCTAATGACTTACTTGAACAGAGGCAAGGGGCATTAGCAGAGTACAAAAAGGCACACAGCTAGAACCCTGGAGGCCAAGCCATAGTCTCAATTCTACACTATTAACTATGAATCCCTAGGCAGGTCAATCAACCACTGAGACTTGATTCATTTCCTCACCTCTTAAATGAATGCCTGGAACAAGATCTCTGCATTTCTTTCACCCAAATTTTCTACAAAACTTTCTTGCTCAACTATCAGGGGAACCACCCCCAATATTTCAACATAGGTTCTTTCCTATTTTCCCTAAGTGTCAGCCGGTCTGAGAAATAAAGAGAAAGAATACAAAGAGAGAAATTTTACATCGGGGCCTCCGGGGGTGCCATCACATATTGGTAGGACCGTGATGGCGACCCCTAGCTGCAAAACCAGCAAGTTTTTATTAGGGATTTCAAAAGGGGAGGGGGTATATGAATAGTGAGTGGGTCACAGAGATCACATGTTTCAAAGGGCAATAAAAGATCCCAAGGCAAAGGGCAGAGCAAGACCACAAGGCAAGGGCGAAATTAGAATTACTGATGAGGGTCCATGTTCCGCTGGGCACGCATTGTCTTGATAAACATCTTAACAGGAAACAGGGTTCAAGAGCAGACAATCAGTCTGACTAGAATCTACCAGGCTGGAATTTCCCAATCCTAGTAAGCCTGAGGGCACTGCAGGAGACCAGGGTGTATTTCATCCCTTATCTCAACTGCATAAGACAGACACTCCCAGAGCGGCTATCTATAGACCTACCCCTGGGAATGCATTCCTTTCCCAGGGTATTAATTATTAATATTCCTTGCTGGGAAAATAATTCAGCAATATTTCTCCTACTCACACATCTATTTATAGGCTCCCTGCAAGAAGAAAAATATGGCTCTATTCTGCCTGACCCCGCAGGCAGTCAGACCTTATGGTTATCTTTCCTTGTTCCCTGAAAATCACTGTTACTCTGTTCTTTTTCAGGGTGCACTGATTTCATATTGTTCAAACACTCATGTTTTACAATTTGTACAGTTAACGCAATCATCGCAGGGTCCTGAGGTGACATACATCCTCAGCCTATGAAGATGACAGGATTAAGAGATTAAAGACAGGCATAGGAAATTATAAAAGTATTAATTTTGGGAACTAATAAATGTCCATGAAATCTTCACAATTTATGTTCAGAGATTGCAGTAAAACAGGCATAAGAAATTATAAAAGTATTAATTTTGGGAACTAATAAATGTTCATGAAATCTTCACAATTTATGTTCTTCTGCCGCAGCTTCAGCCGGTCCCTCCATTTGGGGTCCCTGACTTCCTGCAACACTCGACCACCGTCATACCCGTTGCAGCAGAGGGAACTTTGGTGAGTGTGTGTTTTGTAATTTGTATTATGGAAACAACAGGCATCCTACATATGTTTTTCCAAACAACACATCCTTTCCCCTCCTCACCACAATCCTGATCTGCAACCCACCCTAGCCTTGAAAATCACTACTCTAGATGTTTAATATGTCTTCTAACACTAATGTTGTAAGAATCTCTAAGGTTCATCCTACAAAACCCAGGCATACCCTCACACCAGAGATGGTGCCCATATGCCCCTCTGAATCTGTCTGCCCACCTTCCCCTGACCAGGTCAAGTCAGAGTCAAGAAGGCAGAATCCAGTAGTAAAAAAAGCAAAGAAGAACAGGCTCTGCTGGGCTTCTAAGTCCATCTCTGATACTCTGGCCAGGCTTCTCTAGGCCCAACATGTCTTTCTCCCCACAGAGATAATACATCCAGCCTTTGATTATAAAAGCAGAGGGCAGTGACAGTTTGGCCCATCTCTTTCTGTGTAATCTGGAATGACTCTGAAATCATGTTCTAATACACTAAGCTTATCATTCTGCTGTCTAGAATTTTATTTCACTTAGAAATATTATTTAATTAGCCGGGTGTGGTGGTGGGCACCTGCAGTCCCAGCTACTCGGGAGGCTGAGGCAGGATAACTGCTTGAACCCAGGAGGTGGAGGTTGCAGTGAGCCGAGATTGTACCACTGCATTCCAGCCTGGGTGATAGAGCGAGACTCCATCTCAAAAAAAAAAAAAAGAAAAAAGAAAGAAAGAAATATTATTTAAAATATTTTGCAGAAGTGTAGCAAGCCTAATAACAAACTCTCCATAGCAAAGATTCTTTCTCTTATACAACCTTTGCATGTGATCACAATGCCCAGGAATAATCATTGCCATACGGTCCAAAGGCCTGAGGGAAAATGGCCAGCTATCCCATTAAACTCTAAAACTAACTCCTACTCTGGAGCAAGTGCCAGCTGTCCCAGAAACCCTTTATTTGCATGCTTTTATGATTTTGTATTTTCCTGAGAAGGAGACTGGCTGCTTAACTTGTATTTCAAAAGAATCTGTGATGCAAATGAGGTGAACATTCTACTTGCTGCTCAGCAGGTACAGAAACAATATACAGTTACATGCTGCATAATGACATTTTGGTCAATGATGTACTGTACATATGACGATGGTCACATAAGATTATGATAGAGCTTAAAAATGTCTAGCCCCTACTAATGTCATGGTCATGATAACATTGTAGGTCAATGCATTACTCCTGTGTTTGTGTGATGCTGGTGCAAACAAACCTACTGCATTGGCAGTTGTATAAAAGGGTTGCATAGACAATTATGTACAGAACAATAATACTTGATAATGATAATAAATGACTATGTTACTGGTTTATGTATACCATTTTTATCATTATGTTAGTGTATGCCTTTACTCCTTTTACTTGTTAAAAAAAAATCACTGTAAAACAGCCTTAGGCAGGTTCTTCGGGAGGTATTCTAGAAGAAGGCCTTGTTATAATAGGAGATGACAGCTCCAAGCATGTTATTGCTCCTGAAGTCCTTTCAGTGGGACAAGACATCGAGGTGGAAGATAGAGATATTGATAATCCTGACCCCATGAATCCAAGGCTACTGTGTGTGTTTGTGTATTGGTTTTTAAGAAAGACATTTAAAAAGTAAAAAAGAAAAAAATTGAAATATTAAAAATAGCTTATAGAATAAGGATATAAAGAAAAAAGATATTTTTTGTACATCTAGGCAATGTGTCTGCATCTTAACTTCAGGGTTATTATAAAAGAGTCTAAAAGTGTTTCTAATTACAAAGTTTATAAAGTAAAAAAATTAATGGTAAGCTAAGGTTATTATTGAAGAAAAAGTTTTTAAAATAAATTTAGTGTAGCCTAATTATACAGTATTTATAAAGTCTACAGTAGTATAGTAGGCCTTCATATTCACTCATTACTCACTCATTGACTCACCAATGAAACTTCTAGTCCTGCAAGCTCCATTCATGGTAAGTGCTCTATATAGGTGTACCATTTTTATCTCTTATACTGTATTTTCACTGCACCTTTTCTACATTTAGATATACAAATACTTACCATTGTGTTACAATTACCTACAGTATTCAATAGGAAAACATGCTGTAGAGGTTTGTAACCGAGGAGCAATGGGCTATATACCATATAGCCTAGGTATGTACAAAGCTGCACCATCTATATTTTTATATTAGCACTCTATGATGTTTGCACAAAGATGGAATCACCTAACGGTACATTTATCAGAATGCACTCTGTTATTAAGTGATGCAGGACTTAATATATACCCACAAACTGTACTGTACTAGTACTGTACACTGGACTACTATATGTGACTTGGAAGGAAGTGAGAGAGGAGCAGGAGGAGGAGGTGAGGGAGGCAAGAAGTAATAGAAGTAATTGCAGAATGACAGGATCATGTCACATTTACCTAGCACTTCATTGTCAACAACACACTTTGATTTTCACTATCATTGTCTTGCACAGAGACTTACATGTATTAAGCGCATTTGTATTCATAGCCTGGCATCCACTGCTCCTACAAAGGGCAAACTCAACCATCTCTCCTTCCCCTTCCTTCCAGCAATTATCTGTTCTCTCTGGCTAGTCTTCCTCTCTTTCTGCTAGGACATTACCTTTAAACATACCCTAGAGCACCATCTTATAAAATTCTCCCTTGACTTCAAGTTCTCCACTCCCCACCTGCCACACTTACCCACGCTTAACAATCATTTCTCAGTTACTCTTTCTTAAGATCCCAATCCTTACAAATTCCTCTATCACCTCCCACTTTATCCATAACCTACTCTAATCTGGCATCCATGTCTTTCATTCTTTCTAGTCAGTTTCTGTCTCGCAAAAACCTCTGACAGATTATTTTCTCCTTTTTCAATGCCTTTATCTTCTTGTTTACTTTGTCCTCCTTTGCTCCTTGTCAGTCACCGTCACTCCTGCTGCCTCATCCTCCTAACATCTAAACCCTGGGCTGTGACTTGAGCCCTCTTTTCTGTCTACATTCACTGAATGGATAATCTCATCTATTTCTGTGGTTTTAAAGACCATCTGTTCACTGATAAATCTCTAGCTTTTCCCTCTAGCCTGAGTGTATCCTTGAGCACCAGCCTTATACATCAGCTGCCAACTAGACATCATGAATTGCATGGCTGATAGCCATTTCAAAGAATCCTTGATTTCCCCCAGATCTGCCCCAAACCTGTTATTCCCATAAAATAATACATTCCAGTAAATGCTAAACAAATAAAACCCAGAATTTGGCCTTGATTCCTATTTCCTCTTATCCCCTGGATCAATCCAGCAGAAAGTCCCATTAGCAGTACCATCAAAAAATGTCCAGTCTCCATTTACTTTTCCCCATCTCCAGGTTATAAACTTAGTTTAAACTACCAACACCTTTCTTCCCAGTCTACTAAAAACCCAAATGCAAAGTACTCTTTTAAAACTTATGCTGCAAACGAACAAAACCTCCAATTTCTTCCCAATTACTCCAGTGGCTTCCCATTACAGTCCTAATAAAATCTCATCTTTCATACACAAGGCCCTACTTTATCTGATCACTCCCCTCTCAGTCTCCACACATCAGCTTCCAGCCTTACTTGCTTTTCACTTGTCTTCAAGGAAGTCAATCTATATGTCTGACATACTCCCATTGTTTTAACAAAACAAATGTATTTGATAATCATGGCTTTGTTCTCTAATAATACCTACTACCACTGTTGATTAATATATCTTTCAAAGTAATTTGTAGGAAAATGTAGTAATTGTACATATGCTAAATGAGAGATACAAAGTAGAGACATAATTTCCTCGAATTGCTTCCATCTTATTTTCAGATCATTTACTTAATAAATGTCCTTACAATAAAGTTTCAGAAGGCCACTGATATTTTGAGCCTAAGACCATATGATGACAAACATCAAGAGCTAATAATTTATTTAAGCACCACCAAGGGGTCTTTTAGTCACTGCCAGAACAGCCTTTTATTAAGGCAATTGGGTAAATTGGTCTAAATGGTTTTAAATTGTTGTTAGAATTATTAGAGCTACTATGAAATATCCAAAGTTTACATTCTTACAGGAATTTGAAAGGAAATGCAAGCCAATTTATAAAAGGTATGAGGGGTTTGTTCATTTTCACCCTAAAAACAAATTTGACCAAAATGATTGGGTCTATTTTTAAGTCCTTTCTTAAAAATCTTGCCAGCTTCGAAAGTAGAAGGGGAGATACAAGCTACATAAAAGGCTATTTAACATTATACATTTTTGAAGCCATACTAATGATTCATACACTAAAATAAACCTTGCAATACTAGTCAGACTATCTGGTGCTTTATCCAACAATAAATCAAGGATACCAACCACATGCTGCCTTATCTAGACTACTCTTCATTCACACCAATCAAACACACAAACAGAAAACCAACTCCAATGCATTGTCTAACTGGGCCATTTGTTCTCATTTTCATTTTTGAACTAGACACAAGAGACTTGAAGACAGAAAATATGCCTTATAACTTTTCTTGTGCCCCCAGATGAGTGGTTGCAAACAGGAAAACATATCAAAGTCCCTAGGAAACTTTAAAAATGGGATTGTTGTACCTCAGCCTCAAAGATTCTGATTCAGTATATCTGGGGTATGCATTTATAAATGCTTCCCAAGGGATTCTGACATGCAGATACATTGTACAATTACCATCATAGAGCCTTTACATGGTGTTCATATTATAGCCATTGTGTGACTAATGGTTTCACAAATTTTAGAAATGAAGTTGTTTTCAATTATCAATCAACTAATAGTTGGAAGCATCCCCATCTTTATAGAACATGAATGAGATTTAAAACAAAATGAGCTCATGAGACAGGAAGTGGAAATGCTGAAGCTATGCCCAGACCTGGTTATTCTGAATAACCCAATATCACTCCTCTGCTACTTCTTTAAAGAAAAGACAATGGCAAACAGAGTCGACAGCTAAGTGCTGACATGATGGGTGACAAGGTGATGGCTGGATGTGGGAAATGGCTACTAGCATGAGAAGAGATCATGCAGACACCACTGACAGTCCCAGAAACATTCACCAAGGCCCTAGCCATGTGACTTTCTCATCGCCTCTGACCTACTCAAGGCATTGTAACCCACTACACTGAGTGACTTCCTCTATAAGAACTTCTTCAAAGCCTTTTACATAAGCTCCTTTTCATGACCTATGTTCTTAAGCTAAAGTATTTTTATTAAACCTGACCTCCGGCCCACACACATGCTTAAGATAATGTAGAGGAAAAGTGTTTCCTGCATTGTATAGCACTTTCAACCACAAGACTTATCAATGATACTTCAATATTTAACAATATGTTCATTTTTTCCATGCTGATTGACTCTTTTAAAAATTCAAACTTATGTAAGGTATTTTCAGGTATTTTCCTTTTAAACATACCTATCTTCTTTTAACAAGTAGGTATTTTACTATAAATTGTTAAGTAAAGTGGCTTAAAAAAAAACTAAATTGTCTAATGTAAATTCCATGCTGAAAATGACAAGCTACTTTAGGAAGCCTAAGTCAATCAGCTATGGGTCCAATAACAGTGTTCTCATTGGGGTCTCTTATGTGTAACTTTCCCTTGGGCCTCTCCATCACTACAAGCATCAGGGAAGGTGGGGAGATTAGTCCTTCTACTCCTACAGAAGATTACTTCTACAGAAGATTACTCCTACAAGTGTTTCTGAACACTTACTGGTGCCAAGAATTATTCTAGGTGCTGGAGTTATACCAGTAAATTTGTAACAATAAACAAATACACATACATAACAATGCCAGCCTTTTTTAAGTATTATAAATAAAAATAGCCAGTGAAGAGGCCATAGAGTGACTGGAACTAGGGTAGGATGTATGGAGGGGCAGAGAGGGAGTTTAAATCAGAAAAAAATGATCAGATGTATTCTCTGAAGACATCTTTGAGGAGGTAATCTCTTGAGCAGAGACCTGATTGGATAAGGGAGAGGGACATGCTAATAATATTAGAGGGCAGAGAGTTACTAGATGAGGCACAGTAAGTCCAAAGGTTCTGAGGGGGAACCTCATGTGCTGTGAGATTAAAGAAAAACAAGGAGACCAGTGTGGCTAAGAATATTGATGGGACATGAGGTTGAGGACAAGCCAGGATCTACAACATACAGGTAAAGAATTTGGCTATTAGTCTATTATGACTAATGCTACTGGAGGATTGATAGTGGTAGAATGACAATCTGCTAACTGCTATGTGGAAGACAGATAATGGGGAAAAGGGTGGGGGAAAAAAAAAACAGTCAAGTGTCAATATAACAATAGAGCCCAAGCAAGAGAGAATGGCAGCCAAGGAAGTGGTGATAAGCTGTCAGATTCCAGATCTATTCTGCAGGTGGAGCCACTAAATGTACTGATGGACTAGATACAGGGGCTGAAAGAGCCAAGTCAGTCCCAAAAATCTAATCTAAAAATTGTACTTAATACAGTTTGGCTCTGTGTCTCCACCCAAATCTCACCTCAAACTGTAATCTCCATGTGTCAAGGGGAGGGTCCTGGTGGGAGGTGATTGGATCATCGGGGAGGTTCCCCCATCCTGCTCTCATAATGGTGAGTTCTCACAAGATCTGATAGGTTAAAACTGTGGCACCTCACCCATCGTTCTCTCTCTCTCCTCCCACCACGTAAGATGTGTCGTGCTTCCCCTTCACCTTCTGCAATGATTATATGTTTCCTGAGGCCTCCCCACCCTTGCTGAACTGTGAGTCAATTAAACCTCTTTTGTTTATAAATTACCAAGTCTCAGGTAGTTATTTATAGCAGTGTGAAAATGAACTAATACAGAAAAGTGGCACTGAGAGTGGGGTACTGCTATAAAGATACCTGAAAATGTGGAAGTGACTTTGGAACTGGGTAATGGACAGAGGCTGAAACAGTTTGGAAGGCTCAGAAGACAGAAAGTTGCGTGAAAGCTAGGAATTTCCTAAAGACTTGTTGAATGGTTTTGACCAAAATGCTGATAGTGATATGGACAATGAAGTCCAGGTTCAAGTGGTCTCAGATGGAGATGAGGAACTTATTGGGAACTGGAGTAAAGGTCACTCTTGCTATGCTTTAGCAAGGAGATTAGTGTCATTTTGCTCCTGCCCTAGAGATCTGTGGAAATTTAAACTTGAGAAAGATGAATTAGGATATCTGGCAAAATAAATTTCCAAGCAGCAAAGCAGCAGAGCCTGAGTGCTCTTAACAGTGTAGAGTCATATGTGTTCACAAAGAGATGGTCTGACATTGGAACTTATGTTTAAAAGGGAGGCAGAGCATAAAAGTTTGGAAAATTTCCAGCCTGACCATGTGGTAGAAAAGAAAAACCCATTTTCTGGGGAGATATTCAAGCCAGCTGCAGAGATTAGCATAAGAAAAAAGAAGCCGAATGGTAATAGCCACGACAATGGGGAAAACGTATCCAGGGCATTTCAGAGATCTTTGCAGCAGCCCCTCCCACCACAAGCCCAGAAGCCTAGGAGGGAAAAATGACTTCATGGGCCAGGCCCAGGGCCCTGCTGTTCTGTGCAGCCTTGGGACATGGTGCCTTGCATCCTGGCCATTCCAGCTCCAGCCATGGCTAAAAGGCACCAAGTTACAACTTGGGCCTTTGCTTCAGAGGTTGCAAGCCTTGGAGCCTTGGAGGCTTCCATGTGGTGTTGGGCTTGTGGGTGTGCAGAAGACAAGAGTTGAGGATTGGAAACCTCCACCTAGATTTCAGAGGATGTATGGAAATGCCTGAATGTCCAGGCAGAAGTCTGCTGCAGGGGAGGAGTCCTTATAGAGAACCTCTACTAGGGCGATGCAGAGGCAAAATGTGGGGTTGGAGCCCCCACACAGAATCACCACTAGGGCACTGCCTAGTGGAGCTGTGAGAAGAAGGCCGCTGTTCTCCAGACCCCAGAATGGTAGATCCACCAACAGCTTGCACCAAAGGCCTGGAAAAGCCACAGACATTCAACACCAGCCCGTGAAGGCAGCAATGGGGGCTCTACCTGGCAAAGCCACAGAGGCAGAGCTGCCCAAGGCCTTAGGAGCCCACACTTTGCATGAGAGTGCCCTGGATGTGAGATATGGAGTCAAAGGTAACTGTTTTGGAGCTTTAAGATTTAATGACTAGCCGGGCAGTGTCTCATGCCTGTAATCCCAGCACTTTGGGAGGCCGAGGCGGGTGTATCATCTGAGGTCAGGAGTTTGAGACCAGCCTGACCAACATGGTGAAACCCTGTCTCTACTAAAAATACAAAAATTAGCCGGTTGTGGTGGCATGCATCTGTAGTCCCAGCTACTTGGGAGGCTGAGTCAGGAGAACTGCTTGAACCTGGGGGGGCGGAGGTTGCCGTGAGCCAAAATCATGCCACTGCACTCCAGTTTAGGCAACAGAGTGAGGCTCCATCTCAAAAAAAAAGGATTTAATGACTGCCCTGCTGGATTTCAGACTTTCATGGGGCCTGAAGCCCCTAGGTTTTGGCCAATTTCTCCCTGTTAGAATGGGAACATTTACCCAATGCCTGTACCCCCACTGTATCTTGGAAGTAACTAAGTTGTTTTCGATTTTACAGGCTCATATTCAGAAGGGACTTGCTTGTGTCAGATGGGACTTTGGACTTGGACTTTTGAGTTAGTACTAGAATGAGTTAAGACTTTGGGAGACTGCTGGGAAGGCATGATGGGTTCTGAAATGTGAGAAAGACATGAGATTTGGGAGAGGCCAGGGGGAGAATGATATGGTTTGGCTGTGTCCCCACCCAAATCCCATCTCAAATTGTAATACCTACATTGTCACTGGAGTAGGTATTACATGGGGGTAGTTTCCCTCATGCTGTGCTCATGATAGTGAATGAATTCTCACAAGAGCTGATGGTTTAAAAGTGTGGCACTTCCCGCTTCACTCTCTGTTTCTCTCTCCTGCTGCCATGTAAGATGTGCCTTGCTTCCCCTTCTGCCATAATTGTAAGTTTCCTGAGGCCTCCCCCAGACATGCAGATCTGTGAGTCGATCAAACTTCCTTTGTTTATAAATTGCCCAATCTCCAGTAGTTCTTCACAGCAGTATGCAACTGGACTAATATAGTACTTCATAATGAAACTTTTGTGAAAAACCTTTAGTTGTATTTGAAACTCGCTCTGCCACATACAGGATACATTCATATATAACGTGTCAACAGAGACCTCAAACATCTGAATTGTAAAAGAGTATAATTTCTTTACTTTTCCTTAATACATATGATTCATGGTTACAGTTCTGTCAGTGGGTAATTCAACAAGCAGATGAGTATCTCCACAGGAAACTCAGTCAGACATAGCTGTCATTAGCAAGATCTTAGCAGTATAGCTACAGAGACAGAGGTGTGAGAGATCTGGAGAATTCGGTAATATTAGATTTCAAAAGTTTTAAGAGTTGTGACCTAACCAATAGGGAAAAAAAATATTAAACAAATAGAGAATTCAATGAGAAGTTTAAGAGATTAGCTGAAGGAAGTTAGGTGTCTCCCGATTCAGAAGAATGCAGATTCAAATGAAATAAAATAATTACTTCAAGGTAGAAAAATAATTACTTCAAGGTAGAGACTTAGAATCCTCCGATTGTGATACTGACTATACAAAATGGTGTCAAGCATCTGTCAATGGGTGGGAGAGAAGAATACTGCTGGGTCCACATGGCAGACCTCCAACAGGTCTCAGATCACTGGCTGGTAAGTTACCTAAACCACGTTATATAACAACACCACTTCCAGAGATGAGAACTATAAATCACTCTGGGTGACAAGGACTCTGGAAATATTTAGTTTTAAATACAGACATAATTATTTTAAAGCAAACCCACAGTATTTAAACCTTGGAGGTTAAGTTTAGGAATCAATATGTAATCATTTGGACAGGTTTCAATATTTAGTTCATAAAGTATTACGTTTAAGACAGTTTGATATAGTAATAGACTATGCATGTAATATCAATTTCTTTTATTTTAAAATGTGATTTTTAAATTGAAAGGTATAAAACAATTTTACTAGGTTCCCACCAATACTAGAATGCTTAAGAGAAACTACATATACAAATTTTGTTTTATTGGGTTTACAAGAAAAGCTTTTAAGCTATCACATGGAGAAGTTCTGGTTGTTAGATCAAGGCATTTGGAGGCTTTAAAAGAACCAAATATATTAAATTTATAAATGCATTTTAAAAGTGTTTCTGGGAATTGAATTAACTAGGTCAAAAATTGGAATGGATTAAGGATGCTTAATTGGTACTCCTCTAGATTATTCTGAAATGTAACCAAGAAGAAAACGTCCTTCCAGTTTCTCCCCATGGTCCATTTACCCACTGGCAGAAGACAGGTTGGCGTTTCTGCAGGACCCATACTTTTAAACCCTCCGTGTTCTATCTTCCACTACCTCTTATTCTCATAGGAATGGTGTGTTTTTCTTGACCTTCATCTATATACTCAGTGTCTATTTGATCTCAATGCTAGGTAAATGGAAATTAAGTATTCAAATGAGTTGAAAATGTATGTCCATGCAAAAACCTGCACATGAATGTGTATAGCTGCTTTATTCATAATTGGCAAAACTTGGAAGCAACCAAGATGTCCTTCCACAGGTAAATAAATAAATAAACTGTGGTACATCCATACAATAGAATATTATTCCATGACAAAAAGAAATGAGATATCAATTCACAAAAAGATATACAGGAACTTTAAATGCAAATTGCTGAATGAAAGAAGCCAATAGGAAAAGGCTATACAATCTATCGTTCTACTGTATGACATTCTAGAAAAGACAAAACCATTAAGACAGAAACATGAGTGGTTGACGGGATTGGGATGGGTATAAGCAGGGTGTAAGTAGATGGAAGACAGGGACAGGCAGCAGGGGTGGGGTGGGGGGTTGGGCAGCAATGAAAGTATTCTGCATGATACTGTAATATCATGCAGATATTATATATCTGCATGTATGTAATATCTACATGTAGATATGTAAATACATCATGCACTTGTCAAAACCCAAAGAACTATACAACAGAGTGAACCCTGATGTAAGCTCTGCACTTTAGATAATATTAATGTATAAATTTGGTTCATCAATTGTATCAATTGAATTGTAATGAATGTACCACAATAATACAAGATGTTAATAATAAAGGGAACTGTGTGCCAGGGAAAAGAAGTATATGGGATCTCTGGACTTTACACTCAATTTCTCCATAAACCTAAAACAGTTCTAAAAAATAAAGTCAATTAAAACACACACACATAACTGACTATGCAAGTGTAATGAAAAAACATAATTTAAAAAATTTTTTAATTAAAAATTAAGCCTTTTTAAAAAACAAAAAACTCCCCCAACCTTGCCTTCCTGCTAGAACTAGTATCTCCACAGAGATGGCCAACAGTGCCAGGGATACTGAGTTCTTTAAAAATAAACTGAAGAGGCTGAATGCGGTGGCTCATGCCTGTAATCCCAGCACTTTGGGAGCCCAAGGTGGGCAGATCATGAGGTCAGGTGATCAAGACCAGCCTGGACAACGTGGTGAAACCCTGTCTCTACTAAAAATACAAAAATTAGCTGGGAGTGGGGGTGGGCGCCAGTAGTCCCAGCTACTCACAAGGCTGAGGCAGGAGAATTGCTTGAACCTGGGAGGCAGAGGCTGCAGTGAGCCGAGATCACGCCACTGCACTCTAGCCTGGGTAACAGGAGTGAGACTCCATCTCAAAAAAATAAATAAATATAAATAAATACTGAAGAAACTAATGCTTCATTCAATAATTCAGTCTAATAAGTGGACAACTGGTTGCAAAGTTTTTTGATTGTGAAATTATAACATTTAAGAGCTTTGTCCTAGTTTACTGACGGTTGAACTCATAGACATTCTACATACAATTCACTCCAACAGCTGGAATTAATTGGCATTCTTACTCAACTTCTCTGGAAGAAATTCTTCTAAGATAGCTATAATTGCAAAAGCAATTTATTGAAATTTCTATACAGATGACTAATCATATCTTTAAAACTAAAACTGCTAGAAATTTTGACTAACAGAGACATAACTACCACACTACACTGTGTGGTCATTTTTACTTAATCTATCCTCAAAGAATCTTTTTGAAAACATGAGTAATAAAAGTTTTAAATAATAAGTAGATCTACGATACAGAAATTGTTGGTCAGAATTAGTCATCTTAGCAAAACAGCTTAATAAAAATAATTCACATTTATTTCCCAAATCCCTAAAATTGAGCTTCACACTACCCTGAAATTATGTTAGTAAGAAATACATTTCGTATAATTTGCATAACATGCCATATTTTTTAAGGTTATACAAAGAAATTATCTAATAATAATCCCTGCCACGATAACAGTTTGTATACACAATTTCATTACTTATACCACAGCAAGGCAGGCAAGGGTAATGACCACTCTAAGTAAGATATAAATGTTTTCTAGCTCTGAAGTCCTCTAAAAGTATTTAAGTTTACTTTTTAGAAACAAACTATGGTGTTACTGACTTTCATGGGCATTTTACTTTAAGAAATGATTTGCAAATGAGTATAACTCTCCTTTATACATAACTTTTCTTGGAGGGTCCTACAGGGCCCTTTACAAACCTCACTTGCTAGACTGGAGGCATCCTCCATTAAATCAGCGAGCTCCAACCAAGTCCGATGCTCACTTACATATAAACACCATCACAGCCCCATAGATGGCTGCCCTGCAGTAGGTGACTCAGAGTACGGGAGTATAGTCTCCATCTCCCAGCTTCATTGTGAAACTCAAGTCACTTTAGCTATGCACATAAGCTTTAGTTATATACATCATCCTATTCTTTATGAATAGGTCTCAAGTGATTCAGATGTTAATTTGTCCATGAATCCTGAATTGAAGCCAAAATTTCAACAGTGTAGGCTGTACAACCAAAGGTAACCTTTCATGATTTCCTGAGGAGAATTTAATTGCTTGTCTGAGCCAAAGCCACAAACTACGAATCTAGCAAAACAACTTAATCAGAAAATATTTGAAATATTGCCAGCAAAAGGCAATTCAATCCTTGTGGCCATCTGACTCCAAGTTATATTGTCTATTTTTATTACTATTTTAAGTTATTACAATAATTGCTATATCATCATATTATTATTACCATCACCACATCTATTACTTGAACTATTAACAAAAATAACTTACTTTGTTGCACTTGACAATTTCATAAATCCACCAGATCATTACAATAGCCCCATAGATCAAAAATGGCAAAGTATATTATCTCTCTACCCTGTTTAAGGATATTTTAAGGAAACAGATGCTCAATTTTGTTAAGTAACTTGTCCAAGGCTGCACAGCACATAATGAGTAGCAGCAACTTAAAATCAGTTCTCACTCTACATCCACATGATTTCCCCTCCTTGATATAACTGTTTATGAGCTACTCTTCTGCTGAGATTTAAGAACACAGAGGTAGAATTATTAATTCTCCAACTGACTCACAGCTTCCTGAGAGCAACTGTTTCCAAAACCTCTTCGGTACTATGCCCTACAAACACCATGTTCACTCTTAGGTTGATGCAGATGGCTACAAGGGCTTTTGGACACAGACACCTGCCCCATTCCACTAACTGTGTGATTCTGGGTAAGTGACATTCTTCTCCTGAAGCTTTGATTTTCTCACCTATAATGGAGATCATGCTGGCAGCTAACTCTTCCCAGAGTAGTTGTGTGGATTAGAGGATATAACACATGTAAAGCAGGAAGTCAAGTGCCCAGCTCGAAGACCATGTAGAATCAACATTGTCTATTGTCATTATGACTGATTTTCCAAAATTAAGCTTCAGTCACACCTACATCTGTTAATATAACCGTTCCTGACAAAGCTCACATCACAAGCATCTTCATTCACTTTAGAGTTCCTTTGTATTTATGAAAGATTCTGTACTACTTACCAACATATGGCCATAAAATTGTTTTCTTTCCCAAAATTTTGAGTTATTGTTTGGAGAGCAAGAATTGTTTCCTTGTATTCATTTTTATTTCCAAGAAATATGAAAAGTGCCTACTATGTGCCATCTTTATAGAATATAGAAATACAGTGCATTCAAAATAACAATGTGAAAATGTGTGTCCTCTCTGTTCTAGTCCCATGTCACAATGGCAGTAACCATCACAGCCTGAATCTGCAGCTTCATACTCAGGGTGTCTAGTCTTCACAAGAACTTGGCACAGGGAGAGGGCATGTTACCACTCTGTTAGAGGAAAGGTTAAACAGTCTGCCTAAGTTCACACACTGACTAAGTGCCGATGCCCAGCCTGAAGACTAGGTTTGGTTGATTCGAAATACCTACTCCCTCCTACTACAACTTGCTGCATGCACTTTCTGTTCCTGCACCTTTCCGATCTGATCACATTAATTTACACCACCCAAGTCAAAGTGGAAAAACCCAACAGGGCTTCTTCTCTCTGTGCCGGAAGCCTTTGTGCCACGAGAAAGTACATCCAAATTGAAGGATGTAGTGAGAAATAACAATCAGAATTGTTAACTCTACCTCAATCTTTCTTTCCCAGTTATTTTGAAGATTCAATGGGAAATTATTTTTCAAAACAGAAATTGTCATTCTATTTAGAATACTTAACGAAACTCAAAATCAACTATTCTTTATTTCTGAAGATAGAGTAGATATCTCCTTTGGGAATTAATAAGACATAAAGAAAAATAATCTGGTAGCTTGGCTCTGTTAGAAGAAAAATTTAAGACTTTGAACATGAATTTTGATTAATGTATGCTAATATCCAGAAGCATCTGGATGAGCTTGACAGCCTCCAAGTCCTCCCTAGAACCACCATAAAGAGGGTGGACACAGAGGGCCAACTTTATGATTCCTCTATTTCTATTATCTCCTAATTAGTACTACTGGGAAGAGCAACACACTAGCCCCTGTTCACTGAAGAGTTTATAAAGTGATCAGCTTACCAAGCAGATAAATGATTTTAAAACTTTTTGTCAGAGTATAACATACATACAAGGAAGCACAAATCATAAGTACACAGTGCAAGCATTATACATCCATGAAATCTGCACCTGGTCAAGAAATTAAAGATTCCTAGCATTCTAGAAGCCTTTTCATAATCCCTTCTAAAGACTGCCCCTTCCACGAGTTACTACAATACTGATTACAACACCAGATATTAGTTTTGTCCATCTTTGCAACAATCATTATGTGCTCTTTTGTGTCTGCCTTTTTTCAGGCAACATTATGTTTTATTGTATGTAAATGTAGTTCATTCATTTATGCACCTAAGTTTTGAAGGGGAGAGTTGGCCAGGAAGAGTCAGAGCATGGTGCTAATGTCCAGGGCAAAGGCTGCTCTGCAGGTAAGGGAAGAGAGTTACTGGGCAGCAAAAGGAGTGGAGGGGAGCACAGCACTGGGCATCAGGACAAGAAGTGAACTCCAAAAGGTGGGCTGGAATCACAGAGAAGAGACTCCAAGTCTGCAATGGTCCCAGCACAGTGTGGGAGACTAAAGTGAGATAAGAGGAGAGGGAAACAGCAGCTGTTAATTCATGCTCTTACTTCAGATCATCCATGTAGGAGCCACCCAAACCCGTACACACATGTAACTCTGAAATTCTTTCAGGGAAGTTCACCAGTGGAGCTCAAATACAATCTTACTAGAAAACTCTCTCCATCTTATCTCACCACTTTCAGTATTAATATTTTGGACGTGCCATATACAAATATAATCAAGGAGTAAAGCAGTCATTGATTCACTACTATGAGCCTAGCATTCTGCTAGATACTGCCAAAAATACCAAAAACAGTCTCATCGTCCAAAATAAATACTGAAGACAAGAACAGCATACATGGAGCTAATGAAAAAATAAGAGCTAGTATACAATGAATAATAGAATTACACAGTATTAATAATAAGCAGGATTGATTCACCCGCAGGGGATTAAAGATGAACAGAAGACTTAGAGAAGAGGGGACATTCCAGAAGGAAGGATAGCAGAAGCAAAGGCCTAAGGCCTGAACGAAGGTACAGCATGGACAATGAGTGGGCAGGGGTCTCAAGGAAGCTAAAGAGCAGACTTTCCAGGTAGGAGTAACCCTTAATGGACTGGAGGGAGACACTGAAGATAGGGAGAAATTGGGTTCAGTGACAGGCAAGGTGGGGTCAGATAATGATGGGACCCCGGAAGTCTAATAGTAACATTTACCTTGATAAAGCAGTATAGGGAATACACCAAAGGTCCCTAAGCAGGAAAGTGAAATGTTGACAGTGATTGTGGTGAACATTGTGGAGCTCATCTCACAGCCCTCTTTGGTGCCAACAGACCCATCCTTCAGCTACTCCACAGCTGTATCATTTGGTGGAAAGAGATCTTAGCTGTGGAAGCCTCCTCCAGTTTCTGCCTCCTCTCATGGGGTGAGTTGCTCATAGCCAGGCCCTTGAGGAGGCAGAGAGGAGGAGACTCAGAGGGCAGTTACAGAGCAAAGGACAGCCACACGAACAAAGAAATTAGAGGGACTCTGAAATGGACCTCAAAGGTCACTCAGGAGAGCATGGTCGGGCATAATGGCCTGGCCCTCGGCCTTAATTTTTGACAAATCTAAAAACTCAACCCAGCTTGGAACACTCTGTAGGATCACCTGAGGTTTTAGGTACAACTTCATGTGGGTCAACTCTCTCTGCCCAACCCTGCCTTTCTCACTTCCTTATAGCTGTGTCTCCTGAATCATTCTCCAATAAACCTGCATGCAACATAGGTTTCCAGGGAACATGATCTAAGAGACTGTGATGAAAGAAGACTAATCTAGCAGCAGAATGTAGAGGAATGTGAAAGAAGGGACATATAATCAGAAGGGCCCAGAAAAGAAACTTACTCCAAGAACCATCAATACTTTATAACTGAATAGGATAATAGCAATGAAACTCAAAAGCAGATGATGAAGTGGTAGCCATTTTGATGAAAACTCTACAAACATGTTGAGAGATGTCTTGTGAGGAGGGTCTAACATGACCCTGGCATAGACAACCTGAGAAACTGATATCTTTCAGTTAATGAAAACAATGTAAACCCTGAAGGCAATTGGGATACGTGGTCTGGAGCATTCAAAATAGAGTTCAGCTTGGTCATGTTTAGTTGGAGATACTAGCACCAGATGCAACTAGAGTTATAGTAGGTTTTCTGAAATTTGGGGCTAAATCAGGCAAGGTTAGAGATGTGGACTGGAAATCAGCACAAAGAGGTGACAACTTGTTCCATAAGGTTAGACGCATGTATTAGTCTGTTTTCACACTGCTATAAAGAACTACCTGAGACTGGGTAATTTATAAAGAGAAGAGGTTTAATTGACTCACAGTTCCACATGGCTGGGGAGGCCTCAGGAAACTTACAGTCATGGCGGAAGGTGAAGGAGAAGAAAGGCATATCTTACATGGTGGCAGGAGAGACAGAGCGAGGCAGGGAAATGTCACTTTTAAACCAAAAGCTCTCATAAGAAGTCACTCATTATTACAAGAACAGCAAGGGAGAAATCCACCCCATGATCCAATCATCTCCCACCAGGCCCCTCCTCTGACATGTGGGGATTACAATTTGAGATGAGATTTGGGTAGGGACACAGAGCCAAACCACATCAATGCACTCTCATCAGGAGGTAAAGAGAATCAAGGTCTTGGATTGGTGGGATGCCCAAGGAAGCAGAAAGAGAGGAAAACCTTCTTAGAGAAGACAGAGGACTTCAAGATGCCATATTTAGCAAATAAAAATACAGGATGCCCAGTTAAGTGCTGCAAGGGTCATACTCATACTAAAAAATATATTAACTTCTTATATGAAATTCAAATTTAACTGGGCATACAAAATCTAATCTGGCAACCCTTGGAACTTCAAATACAAAAAAGTGGGGTTGGGGGCGCAAAAACCTCAGGAATGTGTGGCATAATGAAACTACAGAAAGAGACAGTTGTTCAGTGGTAGTAGCAAATGGTGTCAAATGACAAAATGATGTTAAGGATGACCAAAAATTTGGAAAGGTAACTGATAACCTTTAAAACATTCTAGTATTTATTTGAAAAATTCTACAGAAGATTAATTCCTATGCTTGAATTACTGTGTACTTTCTTAACTTATTGAGTCCTGATTGAATTATTATTTTACCAAAATTGTCTAAAAGATGATAATTCTGTTGCCCATCCAGAGAAAAGGAAATGTTAAGTATTGCAAATCCTCTTCTTCCTACTGGAGGAAGGCTAACATTTCTCACAAAACTGAAAGCTATCAAAAAACTGGTTTTCTACATTAATATATGCATTTTACATGATTTAAAATCTTCAAGTAATGTCTTCTCTCTTTTCTTTAAAGACTACAAATTGCTTAGGGTCATTCCATGAACTCAACCAGGCCTACAGTAATTAAAAAGAACACAATTTTCTACATGTTTCTTTCCATGAAATTTAAAAAAAAAAAAACTCCAAAGGGAAATGTAAAACACAAATTGCAGTTAGTAAACATGAGTTATCTAAAATAGGCATTTCATTTGCAGAAATGTGTCAATGTGTATATTTATGTGCATGTAAACAGAAAGGAACTGTAACCTGGAAATACTAGCATTAAAGAACACTTGCTAGATACCTTCTGGATCACATATGCATAACAAATCATTTCAGTTACTTCCTTGTAAACAAAGAAAAATAAATATTCTTCATTTAAAAAGTCTAGAGGTTTGAAAATCTCAGTTCTTGACTGTCATCTCAAATCTGCTTTTGCATTATACTTCATCTCTGAAATAGAAAAGGCCATATATTGCTCTCCAATGACACATGAAGTTTCCAGTAACAACTCCATGCACAGACCAAAACAATATATCACTGTACTTAAAGAATTTGCCTAGATGCTTCATGAAGCCCAAAAGCAACACACGGGTTTATCAAATCACTAAAAAAATGCCCATATATTTCTCTAGTCATATTTTTACTCCAAATACAGCAATATGTATAATATTATGGCAGCAAATAAAAAGTTTCAGTAACAAATTATATATATATACACACACACACACACACACACATATATATACACACACACATAGAGAGAGAGAAAATATTGGTCATTTGCTCTTTGTGGGTTTTAAGATTTTGTTTTACTGAAAACATATCAGATTAATGAATGTGTTACTTAAAGAAGGCAGGACTTCCTATTAAACACACTGCAAATTCAATGCCAGTAATTTTTCCATAACATACATAAATTTCAAAGTTGAGAGGAAATTATTCCTAATAAACCAAATTTACTATTACTCGTTGCTTATTCAGAATATTTTTTACTTCATTTTTAATAGTTTCAGTAAATCTGAAATTATAATAGCATGAGCTTATTGGCCAAGTATTTTCCATAAGCTATTAGTGAGGCAGAAATCTTCTGGGAATATAAGAAGTATCCAGAAGTATAGTTATTCAAGTTGTAACTAAACTGCCAGTGATTCCTCAGTTCTGAAAACATTTAAGCATGCATTTGAAAACAAATTTGTGTGGTTGGCAGTTGAACTTTCATGTTTTCCCATTTTCAGTTTGATTTAGCTCTCCTGATAAGGCAACAACTTAAAAATATTTTTTGCACTAATTTTTCCATCGTGTGATGTAAATAAGTTCCACTATATTAACTGCCCATGAAACAGCAAAATGTTTAATATCTGGTTAATCCATTTTTCCAGGACTTAATTGGTTATGTGTGAATCATTGCCAGACAAGTTTTGATTGTTTTCTAACACATTCACAGTTATGCTAGAGAGGACTGTGTGCATTTGACTAAGAAAGGAAATCTGGAGCAGGAGTTGGGGTAACAGTCTGCAGCTCCTGGCCAATCAACTAGCAAATCACTTCAGGGTTAAGTCTTAACTTCTATAATCCTGCCTCCGGGAAGCAGCACTTCCTAGTGTTAAGAGCTGTGCTTTAAGAGTCAGATGGGCTTAGGTGTGAATCTGTCTGGTAATCAATTCTGTGGGCTTACAGTCTGCTGGTTAGAAAGGGTAGATGGTGGGAGATTGGTTCCCTTACCCACCATGAACCATCCGGAATAATCCAAATGTATTAACATAAAACAGGCAGAGGAGAAGAGCTACTCCAGATCCAAATCAACCTTGGAAGTCCCTGAGAGTAGAAATGTTGAACTGCTTCCTAACGGCTTACAATCTTACAATTTAATCAAAGGCATTTAGAAAGTAACAACAGAGACAACCACTTACTAAGAGACTACTATGCATTTAGAACTTTTAAAAAATATTACACAGGTCATTCTAAATAAGCCAGCTCCACCAATCTGCTGTTCATCACAGAAACTGGATCAATTCTTAAAACAAACAAACAAACAAAAATTCCTACAGAAAAACTAATCTCAGTCTCTATCAAGAAAATTTTATAATCCTAAATAATTTTGTTACACCAAGTTAGCATCATTAAAACTGACCCCTGCTGTTGATTCCTGCCCATTCCAGTCTGAAACTTTAGGACAAAAAGGAAAGAGTGTCAAGCTCACAGATAACAGAACCACCGCCAAGTTCTGGCTTATTATTTTCTTTAATTCTATTTCTTGGGTCCTGTTCAGGTTGCTAGGGTTTTTAAAAGTACGATTATCAATTCGATTCTTACGGGTATACTCAAGGACTTGACTGAAATGGCATGTGTCCAAAATATATAAATGACCCATACTAAAATTTCCCTTAATTCTCTACTTCTACACTTTTCCCACAATGTACTATATGGTACATTTTCCCCACATATGCTATTAATTTTCCTTTTATAAAATTAAAATAGGAATTATTTGATAGTCTTTTGAAGAGTTCCACCACATTCCAAAATGTCAGGAGAAAATATAAAATACAGAGAGATCTGAATGACGTGTTTTTTGGCACTTCACACCAAGATCAGATATAATCTGTGGTGAGAGCTGTATTTTAACTAAGTGATTCACTGCCAGATCTCTGACCATCTTCTCTGCAGTGATGACTCATACGACTTTCACTCCTGATCTTGGTAGTTCAAACTACCTACTCGCTCTAGGACTCACTTGTTCTCTTGTAAAATGGTGGGAACAGATTACATCACCACTAATGCTCTTTTCAGCTTTTATATCCTCAGATTCAGTGATTTACTGGGATAAATGGTTATCACCTCAGTTTCAGTACATACCACATGAATTCAGTCACTTTGGCCCTAAAACTGTTGCCACGTCTGACTTCCCTGTTTCTGTACGTAGTCCTATCAACCTCAAACTCACCCTCGCTGAAGATACTCAAATCTTTCTCAGAATTTACTAATATCCCTGAACTGGACACAATCTTCAATATCTTGTTATATCTCCTCTTTCCCAGGATGACATTTTCTTACAGATCCCTGGGTCTCCTGACCAATCATCCCAAATGCCCTGGCCACATTAATGATCCAGTGTCAATAATTAAATTCATGCCAAAGTAACAAAAGGAATAGTAACAAACAACAAGTATAAAGAAAATAAGTCCTAGAAACTGACACCGCACAGAACAATACCCAGATTATCTTTTTAGTAGAATAACAGTGAACATCTGAGCAGCTCGAGTTTTCATTAGAAAACTTTCAGGAGCAACCCACACACCCTACTAGCAAGATATTTAATTCTCTCTATGCCAGCCAAACTGGTGGTGGTGTTGGTTGATGTGGAGTGGAAGTACTAGTCCTACTCCAGCCAGCTGCCCTGGCAGTTATGTCTTTCTCTGTTCATTTATGTTTATAGGAATTTTATCTACGTTTGAAGGCTCAGCCCAAATCCCATGTCTGCCATGACCACATCAGTGATCTCTAACTCTTTTCATTCAGAAACCACTATGGCCCTTTTTTTAAAAAAATTTTAAGTTCTGGGATACATGTATAGAACATGCAGGTTTGTTACATAGGCATACACGTGCCATGGTGGTTTGCTGCACCTATCAACCCATCTTCTAGGTCTTAAGCCCCGCATGCATTAGGTGTTTGTCCTGATTCTCCCCCTCCCCTTACCCCCCATCCCCGGAAAGGCCCCAGTGTGTGAAGTTACCCTCCCTGTGTCCATGTGTTCTCATTGTTCAACTCCCACTTATGAGTGAGAACATGCAGTGTTTGGTTTTCTGTTTCTGTGTTAGTTTGCTGAGAATGATGGCTTCCAGCTTCATCCATGTCCCTGCAAAAGACATGAACTCATTCTTTTTTATGGCTGCATAGTATTCCATGGTATACATGTGCCACATTTTCTTTATCCAGTCTATCGTTGATGGGCATTTGGATTGGTTCCAAGTCTTTGCTATTGTGAATAATGCCACAATAAACATATGTGTGTATGTGTCTTTATAGTAAAATGATTTATAATCCTTTGGGTATATACCCAGTAATGGGACTGCTGGGTCAAATGTTATTTCCGGTTCTAGGTCCTTGAGGAATTGCCATACTGCATTCCACAATGGTTGAACTAATTTACACTCCACCAATAGTGTAAAAGTGTTCCTATTTCTCCACAGCCTCACCAGCATCTGTTGTTCCCTGACTTTTTAATGATTGCCATTCTAACTGGCATGAGATGATATCTCATAGTGGTTTTGATTTACATTTATATAATGACCAGTGATGATGAGCTTTTTTTCATATGTTTGTTGATATGGCCATTTTCATTACTGCTTAAATTATATTGAAACACAAACTGCACTCTGGTTTAGTTCCATTTTGATGGCAATAGGAAAAGAGTTTGGATATTACTAGTCAGTGCTTGGTTCACACCACAACCCTTAGAACATAAAGCCCTAAGTTGGCAATAGTTTATAATTGAACACAATTGACTGTATCATAAAGTACAATGTAGTAAGTGCTAAAAGGTAAGTGTACACAAATAAAACAACAACAACAAAAATGAACAAAAAGTAAAAAGAAGGAAAAAGATTGTTTCTATGAAAGCCAGAAAGATTTCAGGGAAGAGGCAGCACTAACATGACCTTGAAGGATGCTCAAAGCAGAGCTGAGGAAGACTCAAATTTTAAAAAGGCAAGAGAGTCCTTCTTCTGAGATGTAGCTTCTCTGGCTGCTTCTCCACTATGGAATCATAAAAGTTCAGCTTGTCAGTTGCCATTTACAATCAGCTTCCTGGCTGCATAAGTTACTCAATAAGTTTTGTTTGTTTCTTTTGAGATGGAATCTTGCTCTGTCGCCCAGGCTGGAGTGCAGTGGCACAATCTCGGCTCACTGCAACCTCCACCTCCTCGGTTCAAGCAATTCTCCTGCCTCCCTAGTAGCTGCGATTACAGGTGTGAGCCACCACGCCTGGCTAATTTTTGTATTTTTAGTAAAGATGGGGTTTCACCATGTTGGCCAGGCTGGTCTCGAACTCCTGACCTCAGCGATCTGCCTGCCTCAGGCTCCCAAAGTGCTGGGATTACAGGATTGAGCCACCACGCCCGGCCACAATGTAGTTTTTATTTTTGTTTTTTGCTCATATTGGGTTATTTTCTCTCGCTAAACAAGTATTTTGTGATTAAAATTATTTGTCAAAAATTGACAGGAATGATAATTTTTTTAAAAAAAAGCTCTGATGTAAAATGTGGCTCATGTTTTTTGTAATGACAGGACAGCTGGATAGCATCAACAAGAGACCCCTGAAACTTTCCTTCCGACTGTAAGAGTACTTACTCAAGGGCCACCTCTTCTATCAGTTTCAAAGCTCTTTTAATTTACCCACGATTTCTATCTCACTCTTTCCCTTCAACAGACTTTGGCAATTACAGTCCTATAATTCAACCAATTATACATCTTTCTTTACTAATAAATTTTAAGATCTTTGAGACTAGGAGGTATCAGTTACAGAAGTTTAGAGTCAACAAAAGTTTTATTTCTGATAATAAAAGTAACACATATTTAGAGAATTTGGAAGAAAGAGAAATAGATAAAGATATTAAATCACTAATGTTGACACTTGAATTTTCTTCTTTTTTGGCTAAACCTATAAATCGGTATTTTAATAAAATTAGGAGAAAATGTAGGTGAGGTATAATTTACAAACCATAAAATATACCACCCGTAAGTATAAAATTCAGTGCTTTTTAGTAACTACACAGAGTTCTGCAACCAATGCCATAACTCAGATTTGTTTGTTTTACATTCTTCGGACCCTAACTATTATTTATATTACATTACATTAAGATCATTTTTTTTTTTTGAGACAGAGTCTCGCTTTGTTGCCCAGGCTGGAGTGTAGTGGCGCGATCTCAGCTCACTGCAACCTCTGCCTCCTGGGTTCAAGCAATTCTTCTGTCTCAGCCTCCCAAGTAGCTGGGATTACAGGCACATGCCACCGTGCCCAGCTAATTTACAATATTTTTAGTAGAGACGGGGTTTTGCCATGTTGGCCAGGCTGGTCTCAAACGTCTGACCTCAGGTGATCCACCCACTTCAGCCTCCCAAAGTGCTGGGATTACAGGCATGAGCCACCACGCCCAGCCAGATCAGTCATTTTTGTTAAACAATTTTACTGAAGTATAATTTATCCATGGTAAAACCCACCAGTTGTATGCATACAATTCAATAGTTTTCAGTAAATTATTATACAGTTGCCCAACTATAAGCACAATCCAGAACTGACACATTTTCCCTACACCAGAGAGTTGTAACAGTTCACTGTCAATCCTTGCTCCCAGCTCGTCCCAGGCAACTTTTTCTGGAAAGTTCTGGGAGCTGAGATTGTGCCACTGCACTCCAGCCTGGGCGACAGAGCAAGATTCCATCTCAAAAGAAACAAACAAACAAAATACGCTTGGTATATACAACCAAGTGTTATTTAACTTAGCACAGTGTTTATGAGGTTCAAACATGTTATCAGTAGTTAGCTCCTTTTTACTGCTGTACAAATATACCATATTTTATTTATCAACTCAACAGTTGATGGACATTTAACTTGTTTCCAGATTTTGGCTATTCTGCATAATAATACTGGAAACACTTAGGTAAATGTCTTCATGTGGAAGTATGTTTTCATCTCTCTTGGGTAGACAATACCCAGGAGTGAAGTCACTGGGTCATATGATAATTTAATATTTAACCTTTAAAAAACAGTCAAACTATTTTCCAAAGTGGGGGTACCACAAGCAGATATTCCCAACAGCTATGTTTAAGGGTTCCATTATTCCATATGAAACACTTGGTATTGTTGGTCCCCTCAATTATAACCGTTATACTGGGTGTGCAGTAATAGCTCACTGTGGTTTTTAATTTTCATGTCCTTTATGATTAACAACTTTGAAAACCATTGCATGGTCTTATTAGCCATTCATATATTTCTTTTTTTATTATTATTATACTTTAAGTTTTGGGGTACATGTGCACAATGTGCAGGTTAGTAACATATGTATACATGTGCCATGCTGGTGTGCTGCACCCAGCAACTCGTCATTTAACATTAGGTATATCTCCTAATGCAATCCGTCCCCCCTTCCCCAACCCCACAACAGGCCCCAGTGTGTGATATGCCCCTTCCTGTGTCCACGTGTTCTCATTGTTCAATTACCACCTATGAGTGAGAACATGCCGTGTTTGGTTTTTTGTCCTTGCGATAGTTTGCTGAGAATGATGGTTTCCAGCTTCATCCATGTCCATACAAAAGACATGAACTCATCATTTTTTATAGCTGCATAGTATTCCATGGTGTATATGTGCCACATTTTCTTAATCCAGTTTATCATTGTTGGATATTTGGGTTGGTTCCAAGTCTTTGCTATTGCTAATAGTGCCACAATAAACATACATGGGCATGTGTCTTTATAACAGCATGTTTTATAATCCTTTGGGTATATACCCAGTAATGGGATGGCTGGGTCAAATGGTATTTCTAGTTCTAGATCCCTGAGGAATCGCCACACTGACTTCCACAATGGTTGAACTAGTTTACAGTCTCACCAACAGTGTAAAAGTGTTCCTATTTCTCCACATCCTCTCCAGCACCTGTTGTTTCCTGACTTTTTAATGATCGCAATTCTAACTGGTGTGAGATGGTATCTCATTGTGGCTTTGATTTGCATTTCTCTGATGGCCAGTGATGATGAGCATTTTTTCATGTGTCTTTTGGTTGTACAAAAGTCTTCTTTTGAGAAGTGTCTCTTCATATCCTTCGCCCACTTTTTGATGGGGTTGTTTGTTTTTTCTTGTAAATTTGTTTGAGTTCATTGTAGATTCTGGATATTAGCCCTTTGTCAGATGAGTAGATTGCGAAAATTTTCTCCCATTCTGTAGGTTGCCTGTTCACTCTGATGATAGTTTCTTTTGCTGTGCAGAAGCTCTTTAGTTTAATTAGATCCCATTTGTCAATTTTGGCTTTTGTTGCCATTGCTTTTGGTGTTTTAGACATGAAGTCCTTGCCCATGCCTATGTCCTGAATGGTATTGCCTAGGTTTTCTTCTAGGGTTTTTATGGTTTGAGGTCTAACGTTTAAGTCTTTAATCCATCTTGAATTATTTTTTGTATAAGGTGTAAGGAAGGGATCCAGTTTCAGCTTTCTGCATATGGCTAGCCAGTTTTCCCAGCACCATTTATTAAATAGGGAATCCTTTCCCCATTGCTTGTTTTTCTCAGGTTTGTCAAAGATCAGATAGTTGTAGATATGCGGCGTTATTTCTGAGGGCTCTGTTCTGTTCCATTGGTCTATATCTCTGTTTTGGTACCAGTACCATGCTGTTTTGGTTACTGTAGCCTTGTAGTATAGTTTGAAGTCAGGTAGCATGATGCCTCCAGCTTTGTTCTTTTGTCTTAGGATTGACTTGGCAATGGGGGCTCTTTTTTGGTTCCACATAAACTTTAAAGTAGTTTTTTCCAGTTCTGTGAAGAAAGTCATTGGTAGCTTGATGGGGATGGCACTGAATCTATAAATTACCTTGGGCAGTATGGCCATTCTCACGATATTGATTCTTCCTATCCATGAGCAGGGAATATTCTTCCATTTGTTTGTATCCTCTTTTATTTCATTGAGCAGTGGTTTGTAGTTCTCCTTGAAGAGGTCCTTCACGTCCCTTGTAAGTTGGATTCCTAGATATTTTATTCTCTTTGAAGCAATTGTGAATGGGAGTTCACTCATGATTTGGCTCTCTGTTTGTCTGTTACTGATGTATAAGAATGCTTGTGATTTTTGTACATTGATTTTGTATCCTGAGACTTTGCTGAAGTTGCTTATCAGCTTAAGGACATTTTGGGCTGAGACGATGGGGTTTTCTAGATATACAATCATGTCATCTGCAAACAGGGACAATTTGACTTCCTCTTTTCCTAATTGAATACCCTTTATTTCCTTCTCCTGCCTAATTGCCCTGGCTTCCAACACTATGTTGAATAGGAGTGGTGAGAGAGGGCATCCCTGTCTTGTGCCAGTTTTCAAAGGGAATGCTTCCAGTTTTTGCCCATTCAGTATGGTATTGGCTGTGGGTTTGTCATAGATAGCTCTTATTATTTTGAGATACCTCCCATCAATACCTAATTTATTGAGAGTTTTTAGCATGAAGGGTTGTTGAATTTTGTCAAAGGTCTTTTCCACATCTATTCAGATAATCATGTGGTTTTTCTCTTTGGTTCTGTTTCTACGCTGGATTACGTTTTTTTGATTTGCATATGTTGAACCAGCCTTGCATCCCTGGGATGATGCCCACTTGATCATGGTGGATAAACTTTTTGATGTGTTGCTGGACTTGGTTTCCCAGTATTTTATTGAGGATTTCTGCATCGATGTTCATGAGGGATATTGGTCTAAAATTCTCTTTTTTTGTTGTGTCTCTGCCAGGCTTTGGTATCAGGATGATGCCGGCCTCATAAAATGAGTTAAGGAGGATTTCCTCTTTTTCTATTGATTGGAATAGTTTCAGAAGGAATGGTACCAGCTCCTCCTTATACCTCTGGTAGAATTCAGCTATGAATCCATCTGGTCCTGGACTTTTTTTGGTTGGTAAGCTATTAATTATTGACTGAACTTCAGAGCCTGTTATTGGTCTATTCAGAGATTCAACTTCTTCCTGGTTTAGTCTTGGGAGGGTGTATGTGTCCAGGAATTTATCCATTTCCTCTAGATTTTCTAGTTTATTTGCATAGAGGTGTTCATAGTATTCTCTGATGGTAGTCTGCATTTCTGTGGGATTGGTGGTGATATCCCCTTTATCATTTTTTATTGCTTCTATTTGATTCTTCTCTCTTTTCTTCTTTATTAGTCTTACTAGCGGTCTATCAATTTTGTTGATCTTTTCAAAAAACTAGCTCCTGGATTCATTTCTTTGAAGGGTTTTTTGTGTCTCTATTTCCTTGAGTTCTGCTCTGATCTTAGTTATTTCTTGCCTTCTGCTAGCTTTTGAATGTGTTTGCTCTTGCTTCTCTAGTTCTTTTAATTTGTGATGTTAGGGTGTCAATTTTAGATCTTTCCTGCTTTCTCTTGTGGGCATTTAGTGCTATAAATTTCCCTCTACACACTGCTTTGAATGTGTCCCAGAGATTTTGGTATGTAGTGTCTTTGTTCTCGTTGGTTTCAAAGAACATCTTTATTTCTGCCTTCATTTTGTTATGTACCCAGCAGTCATTCGGGAGCAGGTTGTTCAGTTTCCATGTAGTTGAGCGGTTTTGAGTGAGTTTCTGAATCCTGAGTTCTAGTTTGATTGCACTGTGGTCTGAGAGACAGTTTGTTATAACTTCTGTTCTTCTACAGTTGCTAAGGGGAGCTTTACTTCCAACTATGTGGTCAATTTTGGAATAGGTGTGGTGTGGTGCTGAAAAGAATGTATATTCTGTTGATTTGGGGTGGAGAGTTCTGTAGATGTCTATTAGGTCCACTTGGTGTAGAGCTGAGTTCAGTTCCTGGATATCCTCGTTAACTTTCTGTCTCATTGATCTGTCTAATGCTGACAGTGGGGTGTTAAAGTCTCCCATTATTATTGTATGGGAGTCTAAGTCTCTTCGTAGGTCTCTAAGGACTTGCTTTATGAATCTGGGTGCTTCTGTATTGGGTGCATATATATTTAGGATAATTAGCTCTTCTTGTTGAATTGATCCCTTTACCATTCATTATGTAATGGTCTTCTTTGTCTCTTTTGATCTTTGTTGGTTTAAAGTCTGTCTTATCACAGACTAGGATTGCAACCCCTGCCTTTTTTTGTTTTTCATTTGCTTGGTAGATCTTCCTCCATCCCTTTATTTTGAGCCTATGTGTGTCTCTGCACATGAGATGGGTTTCCTGAATATAGCACACTGATGGGTCTTGACTCTTTATCCAATTTGCCAGTCTGTGTCTTTTAATTGGAGCATTTAGCCCATTTACATTTAAGGTTAATATCTTTATGTGTGAATTTGATCCTGTCATTATGATGTTAGCTGGTTATTTTGCTCGTTAGTTGATGCAGTTTCTTCCTAGCCTCGATGGTCTTTACAACTTGGCATGTTTTTGCAGTGGCTGTTACCAGTTGTTCCTTTCTATGTTTAGTGCTTCCTTCAGGGTCTCTTGTATGGCAGGCCTGGTGGTGACAGAAATCTCTCAGCATTTGCCTTTCTGTAAAGTATTTTATTTCTCCTTTACTTATGAAGCTTAGTTTGTCTGGATATGAAACTCTGGGTTGAAAATTCTTTTCTTTAAGAATGTTGAATATTGGCCCCCACTCTCTTCTGGCTTGTAGGGTTTCTGCCAAGAGATCCACTGTTAGTCTGATGGGCTTCCCTTTGTGGGTAACCCAATCTTTCTCTCTGGCTGCCCTTAACATTTTTTCCTTCATTTCAACTTTGGTGAACCTGACAATTATGTGTCTTGGAGTTGCTCTTCTCGAGGAGTATCTTTGTGGTGTTGTCTGTATTTCCTGAATTTGAACGTTGGCCTGCCTTGCTAGATTAGGGAACTTCTCCTGGGTAATATCTTGCTGAGTGTTTTCCAACTTGGTTCCATTCTCCTCGTCACTTTCAGGTACACCAATCAGACGTAGATTTGGTCTTTTCACATAGTCCCATATTTCTTGGAGGCTTTGTTCATTTCTTTTTATTCTTTTTTCTCTAAACTTCTCTTCTCACTTAATTTCATTCATTTGATCTTCCATCACTGATACCCTTTCTTCCAGTTGATCGAATTGGCTACTGAGGCTTGTACATTCGTCATGTAGTTCTTGTGCCTTGGTTTTCAGCTCCATCAGGTCCTTTAAAGACTTCTCTGCACTGGTTATGCTAGTGAGCCATTTGTCTATGTTTTTTCAAGGTTTTTAACTTCTTTGCCATGGGTTCGGACTTCCTCCTTTAGTTCGGAGTAGTTTGATCGTCTGAAGCCTGCTTCTCTCAACTTGTCAAAGTCATTCTCTGTCCAGCTTTGTTCCGTTGCTGGTGAGGAGCTGCATTCCTTTGGAGGAGGAGAGGCACTCGGATTTTTAGAGTTTCCAGTTTTTCTGCTCTGTTTTTTCCCCATCTTTGTGGTTTTATCTACCTTTGGTCTTTGATGATGATGACGTACAGATGGGTTTTTGGTGTGGATGTCCTTTCTGTTTGTTAGTTTTCCTTCTAACATTCAGTACCCTCAGCTGCAGGTCTGTTGGAGTTTGCTGGAGGTCCACTCCAGACCTGTTTGCCTGGGTATCAGCAGCAGAGGCTGAAGAACAGCAGGTATTGGTGAACAGCAAATGTTGCTGCCTGATCATTCCTCTGCAAGTTTTGTCTCAGAGGAGTAACTGGCCATGTGAGGTGTCAGTCTGCCCCTACTGGGTGGTGCCTCCCACTTACGCTACTCGGGGGTCAGGGACCCACTTGAGGAGGCAGTCTGTCCATTCTCAGATCTCCAGCTGCGTGCTGGGAGAACCACTACTCTCTTCAAAGCTGTCAGACAGGGACATTTAAGTCTGCAGAGGTTTCTGCTGCCTTTTGTTTGGCTATGCCCTGCCCCCAGAGGTGGAGTCTACAGAGGCAGGCAGGCCTCCTTGAGCTGCAGTGGGCTCCACCCAGTTTGAGCTTCCTGGCCACTTTGTTTACCTACTCAAGCCTGGGCAATGGCGGGTGCCCCTCCCCCAGCCTCGCTGCTACCTTGCAGTTTGACCTCAGACTGCTGTGCTAGCAATGAGTGAGGCTCCGCGGGTGTAGGACCCTCAGAGCCAGGCACGGGATATAATCTCCTGGTGTACCGTTTGCTAAGACCATTGGAAAAGCACAGTATTAGGGTGGGAGTGACCTGATTTTCCAGGTGCCGTCTGTCACCCCTTTCTTTGACTAGGAAAGGGAATTCCCTGACCTCTTGTGCTTCCCAGGTGAGGCGATGCCTCGCCCTGATTTGGCTCATGCTCGGTGCACTGCACTCAGTGTCCTGCACCCACTTTCCAACACTTCCCAGTGAGATGAACCTGGTACCTCAGTTGGAAATGCAGAAATCACCTGTCTTCTACATCGCTCACGCTGGGAGCTGTAGACTGGAGCTGTTCCTATTTGGCCATCTTCGCCATTCATATATTTCTTTGCTGAAATGTCTATTCAAATAAATTCCCCATTTAAAAAAATTGTGGGGGTCTTTTCATCATTGAGTTTTGGACCTCTTTATATATTTTTAATATAAATCCTTTATCCAATATATTATTTGGAAATATTTTCTACCAATTTGTGACTTGTCTTTTCATTTCTTTAATGGTGTCTTTTTAAGAGGACAACTCCAATTTATTGATTTTCATTTATATATTACGTTTTTGCTGTCATATCTATGAAATATTTGTGTAATCCAAGGGCACAAAATTTTCTACCAGATTTCCTTCCAGAAGTTTTAACTTTTATCTCCTACACTGAGGTCTTTGATCAATTTTGAGTTGAAATTTGTGTATATTATTATATAAGGGTGTATATCTTTTTGCATTTGAATATCCAATTGTCATAGCACCATTTATTGAAAAAGTTATTTCTCCATTGAATTGCCTTGCAACTTATTAAAAATCAACTGCCCACAAATGTCAGGGTTCATTTTTGAACTTTCCATTCTATGCTGTGAATCAATATGTTTATTTTCACAACTATAACATACTGTCTTGATCCCTGTAGCTTTTTACAAAGTTTCTGAAATTAAGTAGTGTAAGTCTTCCTACTTTGTTCATTTTCAAAACTGTTCTGGCAATTCCAGTTCATTACATTTTCATATAATGTAATATATGAAATATAATTGTAGCTCAGATGGCCAATTTCTACAAAAAGCTGGCTGGGATTTTGACAGGTGTGACATTAAATCAATAGAGAAATTTGGGGTGAGGTGTCATCTTAACAATACGAGATCTTCAATCCATAAACAAGGTACATCTTTTTATTTATTTTAATCTTCCTTTATTTCTTTCCATCAAGATTTTGTAATTTTCAGTACAAAAATTCTAAATATGTTTTGTTAGATTTATCCCTAGGTATTTCTTTTTTATTATAAGTATTTAAAGTGATTATAAGTGGTATTGTATTCTAAATTTTGTTTTCCACATGTTCATTGCTAGTATACACAAATATGGCTGTGTGTGTGTGTGTGTGTTGAGAAAATTCCTTTCTATTCAAAGTTTGTTAAGCCTTTAACACGAATAGGTGTTAGCTTTTGTAACGAACATTTTTTACATCTATTGGAATAATAATGTGATTTTTAAACTTTATTCTATTAACATGGTATTACATTAAATGATTTTGAGATGTCAAACTGAACTTTAAGATACCCCCCTTGCTCATGGGTTACATTTTTTTAAAGCAACTTATAGTAGCTATGTTAATTACTATCATGACAAGAAGTTTACAAGTACATTACGAATTCTCATCATTTTTTAAAATTAACCCAGAAATTTTGAATGGAAGAATGTATTATCTTTGAACAAACACCTCAATTTAAAAATCCCAGTGTAAATCCTAACAGTCATTTACTGGCAAGTTTTGTAACACAGGACATTTTATTTATGTCTAGGCCTCAATTTCCTCACCTGTAACTTGGATATATTAAAACCTACATATAACATAAGATTTGGTGAAAATCAAACAAGATAGCGTTTTTTAAAGATTGGCAAAGTAGGAACTGAAAAAGTCCATGGGATTTTTAGAAGTTATACATGAATTCAGATTAGAACTGTTTATGTAATCCTCCTAAAAATGTCTTAAATATAAAAGTATCATATCTCAATTTATATTTCTAGTTGACAAAATAGGACAAAATGTCATATAAATTTTTTACAAATTTAAAACAGCCAGGAATTCAGTTACTTGATTTTAAAAAACAAACTTTATCCTTTAAAATTATTAATATAAAAAAGAAAACATATGACTTTCATAGTTTTTAATCATGATTTAACACTTGACAAGTTTTTGTTGATATCAGTTGGCAGACACCCATCAGATTACTCAGACTTAGAATAACAATTGTGGCAATTTACATAAGCATACTTAGAATTACAGTCTAGACTCATGGATTTTTATCTTCCATTTACAAAATTTTTGCCTGTCAATTATAAAAACGCTTTAAGCAATTCATGTTAATTTTTTCAGTGACAGACAGAAAGGGTGATTGTTAGAAGGTTTAAAAAATATTTTAACCCAATAAATGTGCATCATATTACTGCATGTATGCATTGAGAATAATAGTGATACAATTATAGATCTTTTTTCCAGGTAAAAGATTCATGTTGGTAATATTATTTTAATTATAAAGCTCTAAAATAATATGGTCTCCATTTCAAAAATGAAAAAACTAAAGACAAAATATGTTAAGTACTTGCTTATGATCACATAGCTAGGGGCACAGTCTCCATCAAGACTGAAAAATTTCCAGCTCCTCGCTTATGGAGCTTTCTCAATATCGCCTTTTTGCTCTGGGGAAGCCTGAGAAGAATCTGTGTACAATTTTCATCATATGGGTTTCTGTCCCAATAGTAAGGCCATATAATAGAATACAAAGAAAGAACATGGGAGCTTATTCATTCATTCACTCAGTCATTCAACATACCCTGAGTGCCTATCATGTGCCAGGCACTGTTCTAGGCCCTGGTTAGAATATTCAAGGTGAACTCCATATCTACCACTTAATTATTTGTATGACTTTGCACAAAAAAAATCTTGTTAGACCTCAGCCTCTTGATTAGTAAAATGAAGATGGTAACATCAACCTCCCTCAAGGAATTCAGTGTCTTGATTAGTAAAATGAAGATGGTAACATCAACCTTCCTCAAGGAATTAAAAATTAAACTAGATCATATACTCGAATATGACTTGTAAAGTTCTCAATTTAGATACAACAAACACCTGTTATCTAAACTGCACCACCATGTCACACAACTGCCACATGAATGCCAGATTTCAAACTCACTAATTGAACTCATTGTCTTTCTTATACTCCACCTGCCTCCCCTATCCCCAACCACAGTTACTCATTACTGGTTCCACTATCTACCTAATTACCCAATCCAGAATCCTGGAAGTCACCCTGACTAACCCCACCTTCATCAAGCTCCATGTCTAGTCAAACACAAAGCCCTACCAAGTGTCCCTCTTAAGTCCCTTCCAAACATATTTATCTCCTATCTATCCCTACTGCCAAAACCTTTTTAGAGGCCCATTAATTTTTTGCCTTAAATATTTGGGTGCCTTTTTGTCTCTCTAACACTGCATAATCTGAACTGAAAATAGGTAAATTCAATAAAAATCTGCATGTTGAAGGTTGAGACTCCCCTGTAACCTCTGTCTCTTACTCAATCCCCACAATGTGGGCAGCAAACTGAAATCTTCCAGGCAGGAGATTAAATAATCCTTTTCTGTAGAAACTGAAGCCTCCTTCCAAGAAACGACCCCCAAATACTGACATCTTAGATACTGCAAGAAAAAAAAAAATGGTTAACTCACCCCATCACAAAACTGCCAACCAATATTCCCTATCCAAGCACCCAGAGCTTCCAAACAGCGTATTAAAGTCTGACTTTTAAATATGAGCTGACAATCAACAAGATCTCCAGGTAGCTGAAAGATGCTTCCAATAAGAAAGAGACCAAACACACAAGCAGAAATAAATGAAAGTGACAATATAGAAGAAAATTCAAATAACTATATTATTTATTCTCAAAGACATAAGAGATGATAACTCTTCTTGATCTCCTTTTGGGAGATTTCTCTGAGTTCACAATCCAAATGTTCTTCTGAAAGTTTAATACCTGTTAATGTATTTTTATTTTGAAGAAATTTTCATTATTCCTTGATTGCTTCTATTTTATGGCCTCATGTTCATATTTGATGGATATAATGTCCCAAGAAGCCTGTAAGTTGAGTCGTATTTTCATCCTCTTTAAGAAATGGAAAATGAGGCACAGCAAGTTTAAGACTTGCTCAAAATCATACACTTAGATGAGAATGAAGTCCAAACTGCAATCCAGGCAGTCAGGCTTCAGAAACCAGGCCCTGGACCACTTTCTGGTCACTATTTATTAAAATTTACTGTAAGACCAAACACATAGCTTGAAGACCATGAGGATGCAACTGAGAAACCCCTGGACAAGGTAATCTCTAAAGTCTGATTTAGATTCCTAATTAGCTTTTATAGGATTCATGTACTTCCAACAATGATGCTACAAATAGTGTCTTTAAAAACAGTTGCCAATAAAACAGCTGAATTCAGAAATGTCTAGGCTGAGCAAAGAATTTTTGAGTCTTAAAAAAAGTTATTAAGACCCTTGAAGAAACCTAATTTAACCTGTCACCTACTACACAGGGTCAAATGTTGCATTAACATAATGTTTCACTGAAAATTCCATCTATAATCAACTTGTTAATTTTGAAATCATTACAAGAGGATGAACAATTCCAAACAGCGATATTGACAAAACACAAATGGAAACAAATGTTTGTCCTTTCTTCCTCTCCCTGCAACAGCCCTCCAGTCTATTAAAGAAGGAGGTTATGTCCCAGGAGCCCCTCTTCCCATCTGTGCCCACTCTCTCAACTTAGCTTTCAGGAGCCTGAGTGCAAGAGACTCCAGGTCAGGGAAAAGGGAGGGAACAGAGGACCTGAGTTCTCTTTTGGCAGATGTCCTCTCTCCACTGGGAAGGTGATAGGGGTAAGAAGTATCTAGGCATCCAGATATTGACAAAATAATTTCAGTTATAACCAAAGATGATTATATACTTATCATTTAGGTTGTATTTGATCATCAAAACTATATATTTGGATAAAAAAAGGCTCTTATGGGACAGCCCAGGAATCTACTCAAAGATAAAAAAGATGTATCTGGATAAAAAAACATGTCCATATACCTGGATAAAAGGCATATCTGAATAAAAAAAGACTCCAACAGAACAGCCTGGAACATTTTGTCTTTGTGTAAATGTGTCTGAAATCCCAGTGGCCAACGTATAGAATTGTGGAAGTAGACCTTTATCATTTCACAGCAACTTAGTAGCTTTAGAGGTCTCCATTATATCAGTTCTTCCTGCTTCCAATCCCAGACTAACTACCAATGTCTCAATCATACTCACTAACTTGACAGATGTAATCTATCTCCACACAAGCCACAGTTCATATGTCATTCAATAATCCACAGAGAATGATATTTTGCTTGAAAACAAAAATAAATGAATAACAATAACAAAAGAGCCTATATGGAGAGAAACAAAAATAAATCACATTGGAGAAAGTTATCTATATTCATTCATTGTCTATTATATGCAAACTTCAGTAATAAGAAAACAAAGAAGAGTGTTATCAAAACCACCATGTAGTACATTTTTCTCCTAAGCTTTCAAAGGTCCAATGCAGGTCCCAGTCCATTATGACCTACAAATCTCCCTGTGAAACTGAGAAAAATAAACACTGGTAGCAGGTTGAATAGTGTCTCTCAGAAATTTATGTCAGCCCAGAACCTCAGAAGGTGACCTTATTTGCAAATGGGGCCTTTGCAGACATAATTAGCTAAGTTAAGATGAAGCCATGCTGGATTAGCGTGGGCTCTAAATCCAATGACTGATGTCCCTATAAGAGGAGAAGACACAGAGAGAGAGAAGACCATGTGAAGATGGAGGCAGAGATCGAAGTGATGTAACGATAAGCCAAAGAACACCAAAGATTGTAGGAAGCCACCAGGAGCTAGGAAAAAACTAGCAAGAATTTCTTCCCTATAGCCTCTAAAAGAAGCATGAACTGGCCAATATCCTGATTTTGGACTTCTACTCTCCAGCACTACAAAAGAATAAGCCAGCAAATTTGTGGTAATTTATCACAGAAGCCCTAGAAAAGCAATACAACACCCCAAACATGAAATGCAAGAAATGAAATCTAGACTGGTTAATTATCAATTGAATTATAACTCAATTACATATACAAACTTCACAAGCAATTGTACCATACAGTTACAAGGAAAAATGGTATGGTTAATGAAAAACAACAAAAACAGATAGGCTATAACATTAAAAAAGAAAAATGTAAGGTAGAGAATCAAGTATCAGTCAAACACCAAAATTTTAATGACTCAATTAAAATCAGTCTTATTTTCCAATTTATAACTTTAAAAAATTTGTAAAAGTAATATCAATAATTCATATAACATTTATTGTACTATTAGAATATTTTAATTATACAGTACAAATTTTACAATTAAATCATAAAATTATTCATTTTACAAGCAGGTTAACTAATTCCAAATATTTGAAATAAAAGAAGTTGTTCTTTTTCCTTTATCTCTTTTTCAGTTTATATCTACCTCTGCCTTCCTGGTACCACATTTTGTATTAAAAATCTAAAATGTTTCCATAGAATTCTAATAGAATGAATAATGAAAAAAATACATAAAGAAGGGTGGAGAAAGGAAGAGAGAGAAGGTGGATAAAGCACATGGGAATACTCAGACATGTATTAAAAAGAATGTACCCAAACAAAAAGTTCAATACTACAGAGTTTACCATGAGAGGTCCCCTTTTCCTCTACATGTTTCTACTGTCTCTGAGTTATATTGTGTTGAATCTATTTGTTCCTTTCCTCTTTTAGACCCTTTCTTGTCCTATGTGGATGCTGCCTTCCTTTCTTTATTGAAAAATGTGTTATCACTTTTATAAATAAATTTTTTCCCATGTCCCCCCTCAAAATCCCTATCTTTTTTGCTAACCTTGACTTAATGGCAATAACACAACCCTCTGTATGAAATGAAAATGAAGCATAAATTCAAAATTTCTACATAAAATCTAGCAGAGTATAACGTTTAAGTATAGGCTCTGCCGTATGATTGCTCAGGTTCAGCTTTTTTTTTTTTTTTTTTTTTTTTTTTGAGATGGAGTTTCACTCTTGTCACCCAGGCTGGAGCGCAGTGGCGCGATCTTGTCTCACTACAACCTCTGCCTCCCAGGTTCAAGTGATTTTCCTGCCTCAGCCTCCCTAGTAGCTGGGATTACAGGTGCCCGCCACCACACCTGGTTAATTTTTTTGTATTTTTAGTAGACACGGGGTTTTGCCACGTTGAACAGGCTGGTCTCAAACTCCTGACCTCAGGTGATCCGCCTGCCTCCGCCTCCCAAAGTACTGGGATTACAGGTGTGAGCCACCGCACCCAGCCAGGTTCAGCTTTTAGCTCTACCACATGCTAGCGTTAACCTTAGGTGAGTGACTTCTCCAATCCTAACTTTACTAACCTCAAAATAGCAATAATGATAGTACCTACCTTAGAGGGTTTTGTGAGTGTTAAGTGAGACTAGGCTCTGGCTGTGCAAGCACACACCAAATATTGTCTATTTATACTGCTACCATTTTAATTTAAATTTGTTCCCTATTAGAGTATCTAGATTTCTCTTTAAGCATAATTCTCACCTAAGAAAACCATCACATATTCAAGAATCTATGAAAAGAGACAACTGGTTCATTCACCTCATGCCTGTCTAAGAAAATCTTAAGACAACAAAAAACGTGGAAGTCTAGAATACAATATCAGAGAGTAAGAACATACACACTTAACACTTAAAAGTTGTTTGAAAGATGGAATATCCTAAGACATTTTATCCACTGTCTTTCAAACCTCTCCTGTATCTCCCAGCCCTTTATCTGTTCCTCATAAACCAAGATGATGCCATATAATGATTCTAAATTAAAATAGAAAAGCTGACCCTGAGCACTACAACTTAATTTCTCCAAGCTGCCATCGAGGACAGAATGAGTTTCAAAGCGCCTGAACTTGAATTAATCCATTACACACTCTAGCTCAATGAGAGATAAAATTCAAAGTACATCTTTGGACATAAATCTAGGTTAGATTAGAGTTGCTTCAAGTATTTCCACTTGAGGTGAAAATTACGCCCTAAAATCCAAGTTTCTAGGTAAGCCTGTGAGTGGCAAGTAGCCACTTACAAACTACTTTACTGTGCATGGTGCTTTCCTATTCTGAAATCTTCCCGCTGTTGATATTTTGTAAATGAGAAATTGATCAACACAGCAGAAGAGGGGCAAATTCAAATTCAGGTGTTCTATCTCAGTTGAACACACCATGCTGCTTCCTCATCAATGTAAAATTGAACATATCCCAAATGTCTCCCACATTGCCCTAAATATTTCAAATTCTACCATTAGATACACAGAGGAGTTATTGTGTCTGGACTTCCAGAAGTATTAATGGGGAAAGGCTAAGCAATGATGATGCCTTTTGCTTCCAGATATAAACAGCAGAAAAATAAGAATATGAAAGGCAGAATGAGAAGGCAAGAAAAAAACAAATAACAAAAACTGACCCAGAGTTTAATTTCTCTTCCTTGAAGTCATTTACTGCTACAAAAAAAAAAAAAATCACTCAGAAGTCAGACTTTATTAGAAAGACATTAAAATATTTTATTCAATAGAAAATAAAATGCCATTTTGTGATCAAGGCCCCAACTATTTTTCTATCATTCCCTGATCTCCAGAACATTCCAAATTCTGAGTTTAAAGATTCTTTGGGAAATCAAAACCACAACGCCAAAGTAGTTCTTAAGAGATGGCATAATCCAACTCCTATTTTTTGCAAGTAGGGTGACATGGTTTGAGTCTGTGCCCTCACCTAAATCTCATGTTGAATTGTAATCCCCATTATTGGAGGTGGGGCCTGGTGGGAGGTGATTGGATCTGGGGTGGTTTATCATGGTTTAACACCATCCCCCTTCGTGTTGTCATATCAATAGTGAGTCAGTGAGCTGTCATGAAATCTGGTTGTTTAAGAGTGTATAGGACCTCCTCCCTCTCTCTATTCCTCCTGCTTCAGCATGTAAGACGTGCCTGCTTCCCCTTTGCCTTATAGGATGATTGAAAGTTTCCTGAGGCCTCTCCAGAAGATGCTGTGCTTCTGGTACAGCCTGCAGAACCATGAGCCAATTAAACCTCTTTTCTTTAGAAATTACTCAGTCTCAGGTATTTCTTTACAACAGTGCAAGAATGGATTAATACGTAGGGTTACTAAGGCCCAAAGCCATTAAGTGCTGTTATGGGCTGAACTGTGTCCCCCCAAAAAATTCATGTTGAAGTCCTGACCTTTAGTACCTTAGAATAGGACTGTATTTGGAGATAGGGTCTTCAAAAAGGTAATTAAGTTGAAATGATGTCATATGGGTGGACCCTAAACCAAAGTGATTATTGTCCTTGTAAGAAGAGAAAATTTGGATGCAGACAGGTACACAGGAAAAATGATGTGAAGACACAGGGAGAAGACCACTATCTACAAGTTAAGGAGAGTGGCTGGCACAGATCTTTCCTCATTGCCCTCATTTGGAGGGCCATGACACCTTACTCTCAGACTTCCAGCTTCCAAGACTGCAAGACATTAAGTTTCTGTTGTTTAAGCTACCCAGGCTGTGGTACTTTTTTTCAGCAGCCCTAGCAAACTAATTGAGGTGGCTTATCTTATACTGTACATGGATGAAAAACAAAGTCAGGATCAAAACCTACTGATCTGTGTATGTCGATTCAGTAAAGTTGCAGAATACAAAATCAACATACACAAATCAGTAGGTTTTGATTCTGACTTTTTCATCACTGTACAACATAAGAGAAATCACCTCCAGCTTCCCATGGGAGTTTCTACCTTGCCTTGTAACTGACTCTGTTTTCACTCAACATTCGCTTCCACAAAAATGTTATACATGGTTCAACTTCTTAACGACCATGGTACATATATACTACTTACGCTAAACTCTTGTGAGCTGCACTCCCACATTCCCAACAAGACATTTTCATACAGATGTCTCATGAGCTCAAAATCCCTAAAACCCAAATTGATTACTCCAAAATGTCAGTAATGACCCTGTTGAAATCTAACAAGGTCTAGGTACAAGATCCTGCTCCTTAGACAAGTCATCTAACCCCTCTGAGCCTTAATTCCATATTTATAATACAGGTTCTATAAACAATATAAATTCTACAAAATAAAAATTTAAAACTTTTTCAAAGGGCTAGCATATGAAGATTATATCGGATAACAGCCTTTTAAACTGTAAAGTCTTAAAAGCAATTCTCCATGCAATCACCAACTATTTCTATCTCTGGCCCTATTTTTTCACTCAGTCAAACTCAAAACCATTGACATTTTCCTCTCAATCTGTAATCAATACTTCACCTAGCTCTGACATCTCTTTCTATAGAATATTATTTTTTGTTACTAACATCTAATAAACCCATAATTTCAAATCTGCAACACACTGAATGACTGACTTATCAGCTTCCAGTTTCTTCTTTTTCTAATTGATATCCTATCTGAATATCAGATTTTTGTCCCTAATATGCCCAACTCTAAAGTCTTCAGAGGCTCTCTAACCCACAGAACAAGATCCCACCTACACAGCCCTGCATTCTACAACACAACCGCAACTGAGGGCCAGTTCCTAAGCTCATCTCAAGGCTTAAAATGAAATTATGTTGCCAGTCAAAGCCAGGTCTCAGTGTGCTAAGGATTCATTGCATTCCCCGCTTCTCTGTGTTTCCCAGAAGCTAACCTTTAATGTGCCTCAGGAGCTTGCCTCACACCCAGCCAAAGTGAATAAGAAGATCATCAACAACTTCAATGTGATCCTACTTGCTTCTTCCCTTGAACCTCCCACTGATGGGCCTGCTTGTCACACTGGTCCTTCAATACCACTACGAACCTTCTTGTCACCTTGGACCAAGACTAGCACCAACAGTAAGATTAGGTTGATTAATTCTAGTGCACACCCTGCATACCAGGAATCCTGCCTGCTGGCCAGTTTCATTTTTCTTCTGGTTCCTTTTTGGCCCAGAGTCCCTGTCCCTCTCCTCTCTCATATTCAGGGTCTACTGTATAATTAAATTCAGTAGCACTTTTAACCTTATCTCCCTCCACAGCTTAACAAAAACCTATTGTTCTACCTCAGTCATTTTCAATCCCATCAAAGCCAATACCCTCTTTATATAACAAATATTTTACTACTTTTTTTGCCTTTACTACTATGAAATGGAATTCATATATAACAAGATACACATACATAATTTCAAATATTTATATATAAATATAATTTCAAATATATTAATTTATATCTATATGTAACTAATACAAAAAATAAATAAAAATTAATTTATAATAAAACAAAGTCTTTAAATATGTAAGTAGACACAACTATACCGGAACACACTGAAGAGTGGTGCTCACATCTATGTACAGAATCAGCATAAGCACAACCACTACAAATGCAGACTGTGGGATATTGCATTATTGAATTAAATAACACAAGCAGCACTGCCACTAAGGAATTTTTCCAAAATATGAACAAGTTGTAAAGTTTTAAACAAAACACAATACAATTTTTCCATGATTTACACTGTAGTTGTATTCCTAGATAGTTTGGTATATATTAAATCTGTGCACAGCATATTTTGTTTATATGCAAAATAGTTGGGTTTGGGCTCATAAATATAAACAGATTTTTCACCTGCATGAATGCTCAGTAAGACATTAAAAAAAAGCTTGTGGGACATGAGACAACTGTTGCAGGAAGCCAGGGACCCTGAACAGAGGGACCGGCTGAAGCCATGGCAGAAGAACATAAATTGTGAAGATTTCATGGACATTTATTAGTTCCCCAAATTAATACTTGTATAGTTTCTTACACCTGTCTTTACTGCAATCTCTGAACATAAATTGTGAAGATTTCATGGACACTTATCACTTCCCCAATCAATACTCTTGTGATTTCCTATGCCTGTCTTTACTTTAATCTCTTAATCCCATCATCTTCATAAGCTGAGGATGAATGTCGCCTCAGGACCCTGTGATGATTGTGTTAACTGCACAAATTGTTTAAACAATATGAAATCTGGGCACCTTGAAAAAAGAACAGGATAACAGCGATGTTCAGGGAACAAGGGAGATAACTATTAGGTCTGGCTGCCTGACAGCCGGGCAGAACAGAGCCATATTGCTCTTCTTTCAAAAGCAAATAGGAGAAATATCGCTGAATTCTTTTTCTCAGCAAAGAACATCCCTGAGAAAGAGAATGCATTGCCAAGGGGAGGTCTCTAAAATGGCCGCCTAGGGAATATCTGTCTTTTACAGTTGTAGACAAGGGATGAAATAAGCCCTGGTCTCCCATAGAGCTCGCAGGCTTATTAGGATGAGGAAATTCCCGCCTAATAAATTTTGGTCAGACCGGTTGTCTGCTCCCCGACACTGTCTCCTGATAAGATGTTATCAATGACAATGCGTGCCCGAAACTTCATTAGCAATTTTAATTTCGCCCCGGTCCTGTGATCTCGCCCTGCCTCCATTTGCCTTGTAATATCTTATTACCTTGTGAAGCATGTGATCTCTGTGATCCACATCCTATTCATACACTCCCTCCCCTTTTGAAAATCACTAATAAAAACTTGCTGGTTTTACGGCTCAGGGGGCATCATGGAACCTGCCAACATGTGATGTCTCCCCCGGACACCCAGCTTTAAAATTTCTCTCTTTTGTACTCTTTCCCTTTATTTCTCAGACCATCCGACACTTAGGAAAAATAGAAAAGGACTCATGTTGAATATCGTGGGCTGGTTTCCCCCGATAGACAATTGTTTATTGTATTAGAGCAGAGACTGACAAACTTTTATTGAAAGGGCCAAATAGCATATACTGTTAAGTTTGGGGGACCATACAGTTTGTCAAAAGTACTCAACTCCAAGAAAGCAGCCATAGACAATACATAAATGAGTTGGAGTGCTGCGTTCAAATAAAACTTTATTTACCAAAACAGACAGCAGGCCCCAAGCCACAGTTTGCCTCCCTCTGTATTAAGAGTTTCTCACGTAAATGCCAAGCTCTCATCCACTAAACATGGTTGCATTGTTCAATTATTGTGATGACAAAAGCCACTTCCATGGAGCAATAATTACCCATCCCTCCCACTCTATCAATTGAGAACTCCTGATCTTAACTATTCCTCCTGTTCACTGCACTTGGCAAAGGCATTGAGCTTTCTGGTCTCAGCTCCTTTTCTATACCTGTCTGGAACACTTCTCCTCAATCTACTCTTTACTGTTTTTCTATCTTATGCCTAATTCAAGTCCTAGCTAACACTTTACCTCCCATCACTAATGGAAGAATTTCCTTAAAAATCACAATCTTTTAGAAATAATTTCACAATCTTTTAGATTTCAAAATCTTTTATAAATAATTTGGCATTAATATGCTACCACATATTATTCTTCAACTTATGATTTATATGTTCTACCTCCCACCTGCAAGGCAGGTTCCTTGAGGGAACAGACTGTATCTAATAATCTGTCATATTTATAGATTCTAACCTAATGATTTTCCTTAAGTCACTTACTATTGTAGAGTGATTACCATGCTAGATGTTGAGGGTACAGCAGTGAACAATCAGACAAGGTCTCTGACCTCACTAAGATTATATACAGAGTGGAAAGAAATTTTCACATTCCAATAAGAATTATAATGGAAATAAAAATAGGGTGTGATGTGGAGAGTAAAGATGCATAAAATGATGGTCAGCCACTAATTTGGATAAATGGACAAAGAAACTCTCTCTGAAATGGGATGTTTGAATTGACCCCTAAATCTAAAAAGAGCCAGGGAAGAGCATTCCAGCCATGGGGAACAACATGTGTAAAATTCCTGAGACAGGAAACTCTATAGCATGTTTGAAGAAAATCAGTCATATAGGACTTGAAGCAATTTTAAATAAGGGGATTGACATAATATGATTTTAGTTTTCAAAAATATTATACGGCTAACAGAGTAGAGAAGGGATAGTAATAAGGCAAGAGAAGTGAGGTGTATAATTAAGAAGCTATTACAGAAGTCCATGGAAGAACTGATGGTATCCTGGACTAGGGGTGGCAGTGGAGAGACAGAACGTGGACAGATTTCAGGTATCATTTAGAGAGGTAATCAACAGGGCTTGTTCATGGCTAGATTTGGGTAGAGGAAGCACTGGATGCTGCTATTACTAATACAGGGAGAACATGGTTTCATTTATAGTGGGAGGATCATGAGTTCCATTCAGATGTGTTAAGTCTGAGATGACTGTCATACAATGATTGATTTTTAAAGATTAAACTAGCCTTGTATTCCTGAAATGAATCTCAGTTGGTAGTGATGTAGTATCCTTTTTATATACTACTGTATTCAAGAGAAGATGCCAAATAGGCAGGTGGATATATGAAATGGAGATGAAGACAAGGTCTTAGCTAAAGAGATGCATGTGTAGGATATCAACTTATAGCTTCTCTTTAAACTCATGAAATAAATAATATCACCTAGGACAGAGTGCTTATTAGAAAGAAAAAAAAAAAAAGGCAGGCACAGTGGCTCACGCCTGTAATCCCAGCACTTTGGGAGGCCGAGGTGAGTGGATCACTACTTCAAGAGTTCGAGACCAGCCTGGCCAACACGGTGAAACCCCATCTCTACTAAAAATAAAAAATTAGCCAGGCGTAGTGGCGCACGCCTGTAATCCCAGCTATGCAGGAGGCTGAGGCAGGAGAATTGCTTGAACCGGGGAGACAGAGGTTGCAGTGAGCCGAGATTGTGCCATTGCACTCCAGCCTGGGTGACAGAGCAAGATTCTGTCCCAGAAAAAAAAAAAAAAAGAAGCCCTTTCCTGTCCTGAAACTCCCCCTAACTCAGAGAAAAGGTCAGCCTAAGAGAAAAACCTACCTACTTGGAAAATCTGATGTCACAGAAGAGACCGTTTCAACCATGCAATCTGCTAAAAGGCTGGGTAAAATAAGACAGAGAGGTATACATTTGACTTGACAAGAAGCAAGTGACTGATGAACTTTATAAGAACAGTTTCCGCTAAAGATAAATGATGGAAACAAAATTAAAATTGAATGAAAAGGAGAATAAGAGGTGAGAGAGTAGAAATAGAAACAAGATTTTCAAAAATGATACATGTAAATCATATCAATAGTTGTACATGTAAATCATATCAACAGTTGTGGGAAACAAACCAAAGCAGTGACAGACCACATTTAGTTCATCAATACCTTGATAAATTATTGCAGCAAACCACCAATTTATCTTGTTATGGATGAAGAGAATAATAGCTGTGATCCTTTCAATGCAAAAATAAACTGAAGTCTTATGTCAAGATAATCTGCACTTTTAAAAATGTAGTAGAGGTAAACCTACTTATCCTAAAACTTATTAAACTGAACTGAAAAGTTCCCACTGATTAAAAAAAAAGATATTTTATTCTCTTGGAATACAAAAGCCTTTCTATGCAGGTAACAAAGCAAAGATAGAGCTATTTGATTTAATAAAAAATAAAATCTTATATGTAGCAAATAACTACATTATAAAAGAAATTTTAGAAAATAACAGACTAGAGGAAAATATCACAACATAAATGACCCTAATATATAAAGAATGTCTATGTTATCTTCTTCCAATCAGAAAAACCAGTAAAAGTACAGTAAAGGATAGAAACAAAGGAAGAAAAGAAATTCAAATGCCTAGTAAGATGGCATGACAAATCCCCATTTTTAAAGATTTTTCCTTAAAAATCATCAATACGGAATAATGTTAAACTAATATGTATCTAAGGAACTCTGTAAATGATAGCAGACATACAAAATTCCTCAGTTACCTAGATAGCTTCACCATTAATGCACAGCATTTTATTCCACATCTGAGCACACAGCAGATAATCTTGTTTCATTTAACATGATTTGACATGACTGCAAGAGATACTGATTTTTAAATTTCAGTTTACACATTTTAATGAAAGATACAATCCTGTAATTTTAAAACTCAGCATATTCAGAGGTGTATAATATTAAAATAGCTACGGGGACCATAGAAACACAAAAGCAATATCAACAAGGAAAAGTGCCTACCTTCCCTGATAGCTGTGAAAGGTGTCCCTTCTTCTTCCTGCAGCCTGATCACCTTCAGAGCTACCAACTTCCCATTTACCCTGTGAGAAATGAAAGATAAGTGAATTCATAAAAATATGTGCCCATTATAGTTCTAATTGTCTTCCTTATAATTTATATAACTAAATAAATTCACTTTTATGCTAAAAATGTCAGTGATTCAATTATACCACCAAAGCAAGGTTTCGGCTGGGAATTCTGTATCATCATCATAAATATTCACATTTTAAATATTCATACTTGCATAGGCCAAGATTTAACTGAATTTTTCTGTGATTCACTGTGTTCCTTCCAGAATGAAACTAGTATTTAACCAAATCACCACACTTGATAATTAGTCTCAGATTAATTAAAAATCATGCAATCAAAAATAACTCTGTTCCTTTGTTTCTCCAATAGCTCCCTCTTTGTTCCTTCTGCTGAAATGTCTTCATTTTCAGTCTTTAGCTGAGGTCATTCAATTCCCAAGGACAGAAACTTGACATTCTTCTCTCTCTCTCAAAAAAAAAAAAGGAAAAAATTCCCCTTTTTTTGTTTTTTTTTCTTTTTTACTACAACCTCCTAAAATTATATTTGGTCTAGTTGTGCTTTATATTACAGTATGTCATCAAAAAAGTTATGAATATTTTACCATTACAAGATTACACAAGACCTATCCAAAGCAGATGGTCCTTCCAGACACATTCTAAATATGTGTTGGCGCCAATTAAAAGTAAGATTGTGCTATGGAGTTAACTTTTTATCCAGTCATTTCTGCCATCAATCAAAGACATAACTATCTATATTAGTCCCCTCCTTGACTGTTCTATTTTCTACCTACACTGGGCCTAGAACCATACTTTATTTGGTTTGTTTGTTAATTAAAATAGGAAAAAACAAAAGCACACATATAATCCTCAGTGGATTGGTTCCAGGATCCCCTTTGATACCAAGTCTGAGGATGTGTAAGTCTATTACACAAAATGCTGTAGTGTTTGCATAAAACCTGTGCCCACCACCCATATACTTTAAATCATCTCTAGAGTACTTATAATACCTAATACAATATAAACACTATGTAAATAGTTGTTATACTGTATTTTTTACACATATCATTTTAATTGTTATATTATGTCTTTTTTCCCAATTATTTTCAATCCAAATTTGGTTGAATCTAGATGCAGAAACCTCAAACATGGAGAGACAACTGTATTAAAAATGTAAAAGGTACAAGATATATAGACTTACATATATATGTATCACACATATATATACACATAAATATACACACATACACAAATAGTGGTATACAATACAGAGTACACTCTATATTGTTTACACTTAACAACATATTTTGGTGACATAAATTCATAGAAAACTGCCTTTTGCTTTCAAAAACCACAGGGTGTTCTTATGTATGAGTATAGCATACTAAGTTTAATCCCAGTCCTCTGTTGATAGCTATGTAGCTTGTTCCCAAATTTTGCTACTACAATGATGTAATAAATATTCTTGTATGTGTAATTCCATCCTGTAAAAATATGTCCGTAAGTTAAATTCCTAAAAGTGCCATTGCAAGGTCAAAGGTATGTGCATTTCTGATCTCCAATTCTGATGAATATTGGAGAAGCATCCTACATAGAGGATACCAATATAAATATTTGGTATCCTTTCCTATACCAAATAGAGCTCCCCTGCCTCTCCTCCTTCACCTACACTATATGTTCTCAGTGTCTGATTTTGCCAATTTAATAGGTCAAAAATGGTCTCTTGTTGCAATTTAAATGGCTACCAAAAATCTCTAGAGGTTAAAGAACTAGCAAAGGAGAACTTATGTGGGCCAGAGAATCCAGTGTCTGAGTTTGAAAGAATTTGAATGTCTCTTTTTTAAACCTACATCTATTTGGTCTGCTTTCGCTCAAAAAACTGCCATAGACATAAAACCCAAAAGAACAAGGACTTCATCATAGTTGAACCATCCTAGTGGCATTTCTCATTGAACTGATTGCGGAAATACATTATTATTGGTTACAGTAATGGGATAGGGAGACCTGATTATAAGGCTCCACAACGTACCATCTCCTCAAGGTCAGGAGTTGTGTTTCTTTTTCCTTCTGCTTTAGCAGACAGGACAGGCCTGCTGCTTTTCTGTTCTGCAACTTCTTCTCCTGAGTATATTTTCTTGATTTTTCTAATCCTGTTTGTGCTCTAGGTACCCAGATGCAGGCAAAAAAAATTACTATGCACATGGGGTTCAGCTGGAGACTGCACCTTGTACTCTTCACTTCATCTTTTAGGACTAAGCACTTTGGCAGGGCTTGAGGCTGGGATGCAGTTAGTGCTGATAACTGCATGAATTTTTCTCAGCCCAGTTGAGCTCATCACTGGCTCCCTGAGGAGGCAGTAACTGATTCCAGGAACTGCTTGGAATTTTCCCCTCATTTACAGATATTTTCCCCTCACCCATAAAACACACACACAACCTTTTTCCCGCAGAGCTTTCCATTTCTCTTGAGAGCGTTAACTTTTATATATCACGTATTGTGAACTGAGTTCTGGAATATAGGAACCGCATGCTTCTGTAGGTTGTGTACTTGAAGTACATTCTCAGGCATGAAACTATGTTTGCCTTGTAACACACTGAAAGGACACCAGCCTTTAATTGAATCAACACTCATTTTTTAAGTGCAACTAAAGATGGATTCCCCCTAAGTAATTTCACTGACTAATTTGTATTATTTTCATAGTGAAAAAGGTCTTTGAAAATATTTTCTATGGTAACTGCATAAAAAAACAAGACCTAGGTTCATGGAATTCATATTCTGAATTCTCCATGAATTGAACCTCCAAGTGTTTGTTTTTAATAAGTTATGATCATCTCAACAGTTCATGACACTGAGATTTTATGTATTACATCACTTCAAACTAAAATTTCCTTAAAATATATACTACACCATAAGTTCCAGAAATGAAGGGGACTTTTCCTGTTTTATCAACTGATATGTGCTCAGTATCTAGGACCTTCTTGGCACAGAGTAGATTTCACTGGGTGAATATTAATGCTGTTATAATAGTATACTAACATTTTCCTCATCATACCTGCAAAATAAGTCCAGAATAAATTACTAAAAGTATTATTTCCAAAAATTTCAAAAATACCAACATTTTATAAAGTTTTCAACATCTTTCATGTTAGGTTTAAATGTTTATTTTCTTTTTATAAATAAAAGGTGTGGTCTCTTTATGTTTACTGCATCTACATATAGAAAAGTTTTTATTTCCTTTAAGTTTTTATATTCCTTAAGAATTTGTAGAATGCTTTGTTAATTAACCTTTTTGCATCCAGCAGACATGTTTCAAAACACTCACTAACCTTACTAATCTTTAATAATCTGAGCAAAGACCACTAATCAGCATCTCCCTTTTCTACGACTGCTTCATTGGTTTCTCATTAAGAATTACACTGATTATCAAATTGCTCTTTAACCTAAGAGTCATTGTGACTTTCTCCTTTCTTAATTACTTTTTATCTACGTGTCTCAACACTCAACAACTACTGAGTCTCTCAGTTCTAAAGCCTGGTAAAAATGTTAAGTCACTGGGTCTACTTTTAGAAAAGACAGCTGTGGAAAAAATAACGTTAAGAAATTTTTTAATAGTCTACCTTTTGTTCATGTATATTTTAAACCTTTTTTTTTTTTTTTTTTTGGAGACAGGGTCTCACTCTGTTGTCCAGGCTGAAGTGCAGTGGCATGATCATGGCTCACTGCAGCCTCCAGCCTCCATCTCCGGGGCTCAAGAGATTCTCCTACCTCAGCCTCCAGAGTAGCTGAGACTACAGAGCCATGCCATCACGTCAGGCTAATTTAAAAAAAAAAATTTTAGAGAAAAGGTCTCACTATGTTGCCCAGGATAGTCTTGAACTCCTGGGCTCAAGTGATCCTCTTGCCTCACCCTCCTAAAGTGCTGGGATTAAGGTGTGAACCACTGTGTCCAGCCTTATTTTAAAGTTTAATATGACCTGAAATATTTGACAGTCTAAGTTACTAACTCATTTACAAAATGGAAATTTTTAAAGATATCAAAAAGATATATTACTGTATGAAAAACAAAATGAACATTGTGTCTTCTAATTATCTTGTGGATTTAACCTATTTTATGAAAACTTCAAACATATAATTCAAACGTTGATTTAAATAACTTGAAATAATCACAAAATTCAAATTGAATCAATAAATTAGAGCTGTTTACAGAAAAACATTGAAGATCCCTCTTCAACAAGTCTTATTAATTAAATCAAAGGCTAATGAATAGAAGGCAATCAGGGCTTGATTGCCAGTGGAGACGTTAATTCAGGTAAATAAAAAGGGCTCTAAATTGTGCTAATATTACCACAGAATGTTCTATTGCAGTTACTGCCAAATTTGCCTGTAGTTGCTTTAAGCTGTATAGAGAGCCATTTTATTTCAGAGATTCTTTATGCTTATTCTCTTATTTTTCCAATAACTGTCATTCCCAGCTTAGCCCAAAGGAGCCATGACTCATTGCTTTAGTCTGCCCATCAGGCGGCATGAACTCCAAAGTGCCGTACCAGGAAGAACTGCACTGGGCAGGAGTGGGGAGAATATCTCCATGCACAGGACATGGGGATACTGGGTAGCCAGGTAGAGCCAGGCTGAAAGGGGATCCAACTTTCAAACTGTTTCTAAGCACAAAGCACAAATCCAAATCTGTCAATTTCAGAAACTCTGTCCACACATCTGTGTGCCCTAAATTTGTAAATATAAAATTTTCTTGTGGGAGTAAAGCAAGGTCTAGAAGTTTTCTCTTTTTTTTTTTTTTTTTTTTGAGACGGAGTCTCACTCAGCCGCCCAGGCTGGGGTGCAATGGCATGATCTCAGCTCACTGTAAGCTCCACCTCCCAGGTTCACACCATTCTCCTGCCTCAGCCTCCCGAGTAGCTGGGACTACAGGCGCCCACCACCACGCCTAGCTAATTTTTTTTGTATTTTTAGTAGAGATGGGTTTTCACCGTGTTAGCCAGGATCGTCTCCATCTCCTGACCTCGTGATCTGCCCATCTCGGCCTCCCATAGTGCTGAGAGAAGTTATCAATAAAGAAAACAGCCTATTTATTTTTTCACCCATTCATTTGTTCATTTAATGTTCTGCAAAAACAATAAAGGAAAACTCCCCACTTAGCTCAAAGTACATTTTCCAGTTTCAAAAGATGATGCTTAAAGAGAACTTCCTTATGGAAAAAAATTCTCAAAGAAAGCCTAAAGGTCTTCTATTCCATTAGTTACTTCAAATTAATAGACTATCTTAGCACAAGAAAACAAAATTACAAATATTATCTGTGTCATCTCTGAAAACAGTGTCCATGTGCTAACACCTAGAAGAAATTATGTCTACAAGATATGAAGGAAATTAAAGCAATATACCCAAAATAAATTTAATATAATCTGGGAAATTTAATATATTCTGCTTCTCTCTTCCATTATGATTTTGTCTCAAGAGAAACTGCGAAGGAAAATAATACCAAGTGCAGACATATACAATGCTCGTTTCCTTGCGGTATTGGTCTAGAAGCAATAGAAGGAAATGTAGATACTTTGGAGGGAGTGACAGTAGAATGCTGGAGTAGGGCAAGGACAATATTTTCAGAAGAATTTACAGATTTTTGGCAAAGTTATTAAAAATATTTTTAAAGTTATATTAATAGTGTTTCATTTATTAATTCCCTCTTTATATGCTAGTTAAAATGCTCACTATACTGTATTACATACATATTTCAAAAATTAAACTTAACTAAATATTCATGACATTGTTACTGTCATCTAAATTCAATTCTGATTCAGGTGTGAATAAGAAGTCATCTCAACACTGTTTAACATTTACTCTTCAGGAATATCCTAAAAGTGCTAACTACAATACTTTATTCCAGAAAAATAAATTAAAATTTCAAGGTAAACTGTCAGTAATTACACCTTGTCATAATCTATATCAAAGTAATACAGAGAGAAGTGGAAGAAGACTAAAACTAGTTTGTCTTAAATTAATTTCTTTTTAAAAAAACTTATGGATACATAATAGTTGTACATATTTACAGGGTACATATGCTATTGATATAAACATATAAAGTGTAATGATCAAATTATGGTAATTGAGGCATCCACCACCTCAACCATTTATCATTTCTTTTTGTTGAGAACTTTCCATATCCACTCCTCCAGCTATTTTGAAATATGCAATAAATTATTGTTAACTATAGTCATCCTATTGTGCTACCAAATGGTCTTATTCCTTCTATCTGTGTTTTTGTGCCTATTAATCAACCCCTCTTTATCCTCCATCTCTCCACGACCCTTGTCAACCTCCAGTAACCATCATTCTACTCTACCTCCATGAGAACAATTTTTTAGTTCCCATATATGACTGAGAACATGTGCTATTTGTCTTAGTGCTTGGCTTATTTACGAAGTTAATGTCCTCCCGTTCCACCCATGTTGCAAGTGACAATATCTAATTATTTTTTATGGCTGAATAATATTCTATTGTGTACTATCTATCACATTTTCCTCATCCATTCATCCACTGACGGACACTTGTAAGCTGATTCCATACCTTGACTATTGTGAACAGTGCTGCAATAAACATGGGGGTGCAGGTATCTCTTCCACATATTGATTTCCTTTCCTTTGGATAGATACACCCAGGAGTGGGACTGCTGGATGATATGGTAGTTCTAGTTTTTTGACGCTCCTCCACAGTATTCTCTATAGCAGCTGTACTAATTTACATTCCCACCAACAGCATACAAGTGTTCCCCTTTCTCCATATCCTCATCGCTATTTGTTATTGCCTGTCTTTCAGATAAAAGCCATTTTAACTGGGGTGAGATGATATCTCACTATGGTTTTGATTTGTATTTCTCAGATTTTTAATGATGTTGAGCATTTTTTCATACACCTGTTGAACATGCATATCTCTTCTTTTGAGAAATGTCTATTCAAATGTTTTGCCCATTTTTTAATCGATCTTTAGGGGTTTGGGGGGATTTTTGTTTTTGCTATTTGTTTGAGTTCCTTATGTATTCTGGTTATTAATCCCTTGTCTGCTGAACAGTTTGCAAGTATTTTCTCCCATTCTGTAGGCTGTCTCTTCACTTTGTTGATTGTTTGCTTGTAGACGCTTACTACTAAAAGAAAACATTGGGAAATGCTTCAGAACATTGGTTGGGCAAATAGTTCTTCAGTAAAACCTCAAAAGTACAACCAACCAAAGCAAAAATGGACACATTAATTTCTTTTTGAATAAAACCCAAAGATTAATAAAACAATAGTATAACAGCTATTTATTAGGATGTGACTAACAATGCAAAAAGATTTAATGAAATGAGGGAAGGGCATATTCAATCAACAATTATTACCTATAAAAAGAATTGATTGCTACTAAAGCATGATTAATCATTATCAATGCTTTATCAAATATACAAACTCATAATATTTAGAAACATAATATTAGAGTGGCATATAAAGTTCATAGGAAAAAATTATGTACATTTCAGCAATTTTAAACCACCCAAATTTGCACCTTTCTAAAAATAAAATCTGTCAACCAAGGATTTTAGGGTCTTATCATCTTGCAATTAAAAGTAACCTCAGTAATCATCCAGGCTCCCAAGGAGACAAAAAGATCCTCACTGGCTTGATAGTCTATCCTTGTACTCTCACTGCCTGGATCAAAGTAGTCCCTAAAACATTTTCATGGAACCCCAACTCCTCTATAAAAATTCAAATTATTTAGTTCCTCCTTATGTTGAGACAAAAATGCTTCCTGTGAGTTTTACTCTCTGATTCAAGATCTGAATCCACAAAGACTAAACTAGGTCTTCCTCTATAAGACAGCCTTTCACTTAATGAAATTTTAATATCCCACCCCTTATTCAATAAATATTAATGGAGAGACTATGAGCCTGTGTGTGGAGTGAAGGATAAACAATATAGACAAGTCCCCCCATTTAAGGAGCCAATAGTTTAGCCAAGGAAACAGACACAGAACATCTAAGTACAAAAACGACTGAGGCATGTCAAAGAGATTCCAGAGGCTCCCATTTGTCAAATTAGACAACTTGTGCATTAGTAAAATAATACCTGCAATTTAAAGATATAAAGTATGTTTAAATTTTGGAAGTTCTGGCCAGGGCAATTAGGCAGGAGAAGGAAATAAAGGGTATTCAATTAGGAAAAGAGGAAGTCAAATTGTCCCTGTTTGCAGATGACATGATTGTATATCTAGAAAACCCCATTGTCTCAGCCCAAAATCTCCTTAAGCTGATAAGCAACTTCAGCAAAGTCTCAGGTATAAAATCAATGTGCAAAAATCACAAGCATTCTTATACACCAATAATAGACAAACAGAGAGCCAAATCATGAGTGAACTCCCATTCACAATTGCTTCAAAGAGAATAAAATACCTAGGAATCCAACTTACAAGGGATGTGAAGGACCTCTTCAAGGAGAACTACAAACCACTGCTCAATGAAATAAAAGAGGATACAAACAAATGGAAGAATATTCCATGCTCATGGGTAAGAAGAATCAATATCGTGAAAATGGCCATACTGCCCAAGGTAATTTATAGATTCAATACCATTCCCATCAAGCTACCAATGACTTTCTGCACAGAATTGGAAAAAACTACTTTAAAGTTCATATGGAACCAAAAAAGAGCCCGCATCACCAAGTCAATCCTAAGACAAAAGAACAAAGCTGGAGGCATCATGCTACCTGACTTCAAACTACACTACAAGGCTACAGTAACCAAAACAGCATGGTACTGGTACCAAAACAGAGATATAGATCAATGGAACAGAACAGAGCCCTCAGAAATAATGCCGCATATCTACAACTATCTGATCTTTGACAAACCTGAGAAAAACAAGCAATGGGGAAAGGATTCCCTATTTAATACATGGTGCTGGGAAAACTGGCTAGCCACATGTAGAAAGCTGAAACTGGATCCTTTCCTTACACCTTATACAAAAATTAATTCAAGATGGATTAAAGACTTACATGTTAGACCTCAAACCATAAAAACCCTAGAAGAAAACCTAGGCATTACCATTCAGGACATAGGCATGGGCAAGGACTTCATGTCTAAAACACCAAAAGCAATGGCAACAAAAGACAAAATTGACAAATGGGATCTAATTAAACTAAAGAGCTTCTGCACAGCAAAAGAAACTACCATCAGAGTGAACAGGCAACCCATAAAATGGGAGAAAATTTTCGCAACCTACTCATCTGACAAAGGGCTAATATCCAGAATCTACAATGAACTCAAACAAATTTATAAGAAAAAAACGAACAACCCCATCAAAAAGTGGGCGAAGGACATGAACAGACACTTCTCAAAAGAAGACATTTATGCAGCCAAAAAACACATGAAAAAATGCTCACTATCACTGGCTATCAGAGAAATGCAAATCAAAACCACAAATCAAAACCACAATGAGATACCATCTCACACCAGTTAGAATGGCGATCATTAAAAAGTCAGGAAACAACAGGTGCTGGAGAGGATGTGGGGAAATAGGAACACTTTTACACTGCTGGTGGGACTGTAAACTAGTTCAACCATTGTGGAAGTCAGTGTGGCGATTCCTCAGGGATCTAGAACTAGAAATACCATTTGACCCAGCCATCCCATTACTGGGTATATACCCAAAGGATTATAAATCATGCTACTATAAAGACACATGCACACGTATGTTTATTGCGGCACTATTCACAATAGCAAAGACTTGGAACCAACCCAAATGTCCAACAATGATAGACTGGATTAAGAAAATGTGGCACATATACACCATGGAATACTATGGAGCCATATAAAATGATGAGTTCATGTTCTTTGTAGGGACATGGATGAAATTGGAAATCATCATTCTCATTAACTATCGCAAGAACAAAAAACCAAACACCGTATTGAACAATGAGAACACATGGACACAGGAAGGGGAACATCACACTCTGGGGAATGTTGTGGGGTGGGGGGAGGGGGGAGGGATAGCTTTAGGAGATATACCTAATACTAAATGACGAGTTAATGGGTGCAGCATACCAACATGGCACATGTATACATATGTAACTAACCTGCACATTGTGCACATGTACCCTAAAACTTAAAGTATAATAATAATAAAATAAAATAAAAATAAAAATAAATAAATAAATTTATAAGTTTTAAAATGAAATAAAAAACCTAATTGGTCATTTTGGAGGGTATTACAGAATCATTTCATTACTTTAAAACTTTCTAAATACAGAATATATCAAACATTTTCCTTCCCTTTCATACCCTTTCATATACACTGTACCTCAGTATAATTAAATATTGTAGTTGATTTGAGGAAGTTTCTCTATAGATGCACTGCATGTAACAAATGAAGACGGAAAGACAGAATTTGAATATCACCATTTTGCTAACCATAATCACTTAGTAGATTATCAACAGTTAGATTCTGACCAAGTCTAAATCTAACTACTTATTTAAAAGGCATAAGGGAACAAGTTAAATAACACCATTAGGAAACAATAAGGAAAATCCAGACTTCTAAAGCTCTATAGGAGAAATTAATCTGTTTCTTCAACAAATCAACTTCAAGGGGAAAAAAGGCATGGTAGGGGTAACCCATGGACTAAAAGATTGACATGTAACTGCAATTCATTGCAATGTATAGACTCAATTTTTCTGGATTCAAACAAAGTGTATTTTAATACTGTATAGTTGATATTAAGGAACATTTAACTTTTTACATGTTATCATATAGTATTGTCATGTGTTTTAAAACACAATGCTTATCTTTCAAAAAATAAATCTAATATAAAGTAATATAAGGTCCGGGGTTTTCTTTCAAAATAATTGCAGGGAATGAATATAGATGAAATATGATCAGTCATGAGTTGCCCATGTTTGAAGATGGGTGATGGCTTCATGGAAGTTTATGACTATGCTCTCTACTAGTTATTTTCTATAATAAGTTCTTTTTTAAAGAATACAATATGCATTGGTATAAATGTGATAAGGGAAAATCTCAGCACGCTATATAAAAGAAATAGGGAGGCTGGGGCAGGAAGATCACTTCTGACCAGGGGTTTGAGACATGCCTGGGCCACACAGCAAAATCCCTTCTCCCTACAAAAATTTAAAAAATAGTTGAGCATGGTGGCACGTGCCTGTAGTCCCAGCTACTTAGGATGCTGAGGTCGGGGAACCACTAGAGCCCAAGAGTTCAAGGTTATAGCAAGCTATGATTGTACCACGCACTTCAGCCTAGGCAACACAGCATGCACATCTTTTTATATTTTTTTCTTTTTTTGAGACGGAGTCTCACCCTGTTGCCCAGGCTGGAGTACAATGGCGCAATCTCGGCTCACTGCAACCTCTGCCTCCTGGGTTCAAGCAATTCTCCTGCCTCAGCCTCCCGAGTAACTGAGATTACAGGTATGCACCACCACGCCCAGCTAATTTTTTGTATCTGTAGTAGAGACGGGGTTTCACCATGTTGGCCAGGCTGGTCTCGAACACCTGAACTCACTATGATCCACCCCTCGGCCTACCAAAGTGCTGGGATTACAGACGTGAGCCACCGTGTCCAGTTGCCCATGTCTTAAAAAAGAGAAAAGAAGAGAGAAAGAAAAGAAAGAGAGAAAAGAGAGAGGAGAGAGAAAAGAAGGAAGGAAGGAAGGAAGGAAGGAAGGAAGGAAGGAAGGAAGGAAGGAAGGTCGGTCAATTTTTACATTCCACAGGAAAGGATTAAGCTGAAAAAAGGAAGATAAAAGAATAAACCAAGAACATTCCAGGCAGATGGAACAACCTGCACAAAAGCTCAGAGGGTGAGAATGTGATGTGTTAAACAAAAATAAAGAAGAGAAGGAGGAAGGGAAAGAAAAAATGGGGGAAGAAGGATAGAGCTAGTGAGGTGTGGGTGGAAGAGCTAGAGAGGACAGGAGCCAGATCACGAAGGGCCTTCTGGGCTGCATAAAGGACTGATACAAAAAACACTGAAAGATCTTAAGAAGGGTAACAGCATGATTAACTTCTGTGTCTGCAGCTCACTCGCTATGGTGTGGAGAATTCCTGCAGGAGCACACAGTGGGAGCCGGAAGGGCAGTCAGAAAGCTGTTGTGGGGCTCTGGGTGAAACTTGGTGGCTATTCTCACCAGGGTACTGGTAAGAGCAATGGGAAAAAAGGAAAATGGTATTTTGAAGACAGAACAAACAGGCTGTTAGGATAAACTGAATTGGGATACGGAAATTATAAAGGATGACTCCATTACTTCCTGATTTTAGCATCTAAGTGGATGTAGGTATCATTTACTGAAATGAGTGAAATTAAAGGATGAAAGATTTAGACAAAATGTATCAAGAGTTCTGTTTGGGAAAAAGATCTTAGTCTGGGAACATCCAACTGGAGACATAAAGGAAGCATTGGTATTTATGAGTCTGGATCTCAGTAGAAAAATCTAGGCCAGACATATAAATTTATGAGTTACTTGGGGGACTGCAAGAGACAGCCAGTTTTCTGTTAAAGCAGAAGTAAACACTCAGAGAAGAGGTAGAAAATATGTAGGAATTTCCTGATCAGAGAATGATGTTCTATATCTAGAACACATGGAAAGAGCCTAAAGGATGGAGGAAAGGGACAGTGTGGGGCACACATTAAGAAACATGATACTTGCAAATGGTTAAAAACAAAAGGGAAGAAGAAATATGAGGGTGCAGTCTGAGGCATAGTGGATGATCAGGGAGTTTTTTTACTTTGGATAGTGCCTGGGATATGACACAGTGATGTGAGGCACAGAGGATTCCATCCTGGCAGTCTCTTGGAAGCAGTGGAATAGAGGCTACTGTTTTGGCTGCTGCTCGGCACAGCTGCCCCTATGTGCACTAGGCAAAGCATGGAGAGGGATGGGCCGAGCTTTTGCAGCTGCACAGATGACAAGGTACAGGTCCTCAACCTTGGCTACATATCAGAATCACCAGAGGAGATTTGAAACAACAATGCCTAGCTCTGCCCCTGATTTAACTGGTGTGGGGTAAAGTCCTAGCATCTGTATTTGTAAAAACACCCGCAGTGATTCTAACGTGCAACCAGGACTGAAAATCATTGTGTTAAACCTTCAGGTTCCAACACCAGCTTCTCACTGCCTCTCTTCCTTTGCCTGGTCTCTCCAAAACTGAAGTCGCCTTTTTACTATAAACATTCAAAAGTTTTTCAACTATTTTGAGTGTCCTCATAGTTGAAAGCTCAGTGGTAAACAAATGAGCCAAGTCCTTACCACGTAAAAGAGATACTGAAACAGCACCTTACTGGAAAACTTACTACTCTCAGGTATAGCTGAACAGCCTGTTTTAGATCCACCACCAGCAACAGCACATCATCCAACTGCCTATGATCCTCTTATCTACCAGAACATAACTGGGAACATTTAGCAACATTTTTAAAATAAGCAGATATATAATAGCTACAGTGTTCTGCAAGTCTACTAGCTTAAAAATCTGATCCAAACAAGGAATTAAGGTTATTTAAGTATGACTTTTTTTTTTTTTTTAACTAACTTCGTGTCACTATTTTGCTTTCTAATTGTTGAGAAACCATCGGAACAGTATTTTCATTAGAGAAGGGGGAACAAGAAGAGCGTGCAAGGGGAATGTCACACCATTTCCTTCGGTTCTGGTTCATAGATTTATCGTCTTCTGTAAAGGTTTGGACATCTCAAGACTGCTAATGCCTCTCCAATTTTTCATAGATCCTCAAAGATCACGGACAGTGATGAAACAGTTTCAACTCCAAATTTCTTTAAAATTCTGTGCAACAGTCATCTCAAGTCTTCAATCAGAACTCCAAAGAGAACCAAAGTACTATCAAATGTCCTAAGACATTTGTTAATTTAATTCACATCTACATTTGTTCTGCACTTTCATGCCTGAAACTAACTCTCCCTGGAAACAATGATATCAGGAGGTGAGTGCTTGCACTTCTTCTGTGACCTTTCTATCCCCATGACCCCTGTGTGTGTGAACTTTAAAGCCGAGCTCACACTCGGTTTCTAATTCTTCCACTTCTCTCATTGAGATGACTTGTGCTTATCTGCTTTGATGTTTGATTGTTCGGTTTTGAGAGACTTTAATCATCCATTTTAATACATTAACCTTCTGGAGTTTTAGGGCTATGGGTTGTATACTTCTCAGGACTTTGAAGAGAAATACTTCCTAGATGCAAGGAATTGTTCCAGGTGGAGCAAGAAATAACATGCATACAGCCCTTGAGGAGATTACCAGCTAACAGAGAAGACAGGAAAGTACCAAGCAACCAAAATGAATGATGAAAGAAGGAAAAATTCTAAACAAAAGTAAGGCAAAGTTATCAAGGACCAGGAATGGAAGAACTCCAAACACATCAAAAGAAGGCAAAGCACAGGAAAAATCTCCAAGTCATCCACAGAGGTAAAAAGTAGTTGTTTACACATACTCTTGAAATTACTAGAGAAGGGCCGTGTTTGATGAGATGGGATAGTTTCATAAAAAATAAGTAAATGTAGATCCTTATGAGTTTTTCAGATTGATTTTTCACACATACTGAGATTTGAAACCTACTATGTTAATTAGTTCTCTATGAGTTTTTATACATAAACATAATACCCACATGTACCATATAATGCCACATGTACCATATAATACCCACATACACTGAAAACTATGAAGAAAGGAATTCTGTGAAGGCAAACAAACACCAAATAACAAAAACTAAGAAGGAAGAAAAGGGGAAGGAGGAAGCCAGGTAGGAGAAGGGTGGGGGGGAGAAAGAGGAGGAGGAAGAGGAGAAGGAGAAGAGGAGGAGAGGAGAGGAGGAGGAGAAGGAAAAGGAGAGGAGGAGGAGAAGGAAAATGAGAAGAGGAGGAGGAGAAAGGGGGAGGGGAAGGGGGAGGGGAAGGGGGAGGGGGAGGAGGAGGTATTTTCGTTTTTCTCTGGTCCTACTTTCAAGCACACTTGTCTGGAGAAACACATTACTGAGGTCTTTGAAAAACCTGTATTTCACATTTCTAGAGAAATCAAATTTTCTCATTCTGAGGTCAAGTTGCCATTTCAAATAGATTTTTATCTGTAGTAGCTTTTTTTTCCCACAGAAACTGTTTTAGAAAAGCAGAAAAGAAATGGATATACTTCTTGATATTATCACTTTTCCTCAATCTTTGATTACTTATTAAACTCTTGCTAATTCTTACATACTACATATCATACTGTATCTAAAAATCAAAGTCAAACCCATTCATTCCTAATCTTCTGTTTTAAAAGCCATATACAGCATCGCGATGAGAATGAATCATTGCATGAGCTAGGATTAAAGAAAAGCAGATAAATCAGATGCTCAACTTTACAGCATTTCAAGCCTCTTGGTCCAAAGATGTGTTTAAAGCATTCTGTTTCTGTTTCTTGAGCAGAGTCATAAATGCCCCCTCTTTCTCTAACAGAGGCATACACACCCAGGATCACACAAGAAAAGTCAAGTTTCCACTCTCATGAAAAAAGCATCTCCAAAGCAGTGAAATGAGATGCACCAAAAAAATCACATCACTGATTCACCACCATGAGGCTCTGAGGAGTCCCCAAGTACTACTCATTGCCAAATAGTATTAACTAGAGATTTTGCATGTCGCATTCAAAAATAGTCATATGAAATTAAGTGAAGCTTAGAACAGCAGGAGAAACAATTAAAACAGCCCTCGAGGGTCATTAAGGCAGGGGTATTCAGAGTTCAGACTCTTCTCCACCCATTCTAATAGAGACCAAAACACACATACACACCCCTGAAGTTTAAGTTATAACCACAATTTTAAGCGAGTATTTTCTTTTTCTGGTTGCCTGCAAAGGCCCTTGGAGAATAAAGAAAGAAAATTTCACAGTAGCCTGGTGAAAGTAATAGAGAGATATTAAGACAAGAGGATTATGAGTGATTTTTATTTTCCCCAATAAAAATGTATTACTTGCATACTTATAGGAAATGTTACCATTGAATATATTCAAAATGAAATTAAAAATAATATCAAGAAAAGCCAAAATTATTTACTTTAAGGCTTTTATGACAAAAAAGGATTAGAGAACAATGCTATATGGCATCACTGATTACCTGAATCTAAAGGTCTGTTCTAAAAATAAGGGTGTCACTCAAAATGAACTGTCTTATAGGCAAGACCATTATCAAGTTAAAAAGTTATTCAATTAAATATAAAGTTGAAAAAGAACTACCTACACATGTTGAAGATCAGGTTTTATATTACTTCATATATAACTGAAGAGCTAAATAGATTTTAAAAAGAACAAATTCTAAGCGTTATATATAACTGGTATAAGAAAGACCTGTGCTGGCCTGGCGTAGTGGCTCACACCTGTAATCTCAGCACTCTGGGAGGCCAGGGCAGGCAGATCACTTGAGGTCAGGAGTTCGTGACCAGCCTGGCTAACATGGTGAAACCCCATCTCTACTAAAAATACAAAAATTAGCCAGGCATGGTGGCAAGCGCCTGTAATTCCAGCTACTCTGGAGTCTGGGGCAGGAGAATCATTTGAACACAGGAGATGGATATTGCAGTGAGCTGGGATCGCACAACTGCACTCCAACCTGGGCAACAGAGCAAGACTCCATCTCAAAAAAAAAAAAAAAAAAGAAAGAAAAGAGGAGAGGAGAGGAGAGGAGAGGAGAGGAGAGGAGAGGAGAGGAGAGGAGGGAAGAGAAGACCTATGCCAGAGGAGAGAAGAGAAGAGAAGACCTATGCCAGTGTTACTTCTAAAACCTACCAAGCAAGCCAGAGTACAAATCAGCCTGATTTTGAATGAACTGGTTTTATACACAGTCAATAAATTTAAAATCAAGATAACAGTCTTTAATTCAAAAATAGAGCCAGGCGAGGTGGCTCACACCTTTAATTTCAGCTAGTTGGGAAGCTGAGGCAGGAGGATCACTTGAGTCCAAGAGTTCAAGGCTGTAGTGAGCTATAATTTTGCCACTGCACTCTAGAATAGGTGACAGAGTGAAACCCTGTCTCTAAAAATAAAGTAAAAGCAAAACTAGCACTGATGTTCAGGTATCCACTATGCGGCAGGCCCTGGGCCAAGGACTTTATTTACATTGTCTCATTTAATCACGCTAATACCTCTGTGTGATAGATACTACCACTGTCTTCACTTTATAAAGAAACTGAGACACAGGGTAGCTAAATAATTTGTTGTAAGTCACACAACTAGAAGAGGCAGGTTCACAATTTGGATCTAGGTGGTCAGACTTCCTAAGTTATCTGTGGGGTTGCAATAATTAAAGCATGAACCACAGAAGAAAGGTGTGTAGTCCACACTCTTATACTACTCCTTTGTTCATCAAAAGTACTCTGCTTATAACTGTTTTTTCTTTCAAGACACTCATGATCAAATTATTTAATCTGAAAGTAGTGTCATTATTCTTGGAGGTTTTCAACTAATCATTCTTTACAAACGTCAAAATAAACCAATATATTTTAGAATGACATTAATAAGTCCTATCCTAATTATAACACTGATTGATACATGTTTATGGCAGAATACTTGGTCAGTACAGAAAAATTTTTCACCAATAGTAATCTTACTATTCAGAGTTAAATTCTTCAACATGTGTGTCTATTTCCTAGGTTTTTTTCATATGTAAATTTTTCCCAAGAACAACATTCTACAGAACTTTAATAATTGGTCATCTATTTCGCTGTGGTTTAATAATATATCCTTTTAGTGGATGGGCTTAAGTAGAAACCCAGTGTATTAGTCTGTTCTTGCATGCTATAAAGACATATCTGAAACTCGGTTGTTTATAAGAAAAGAGGTTTAATTGACTCACAGTTCCACAGGCTGTTCAGGAAACACGGTTGGGGAGGCCTCAAGAAACTTACAATCATGGCAGAAGGGCGAAGGGGAAGCAAGCACGTTCCTCACTTGGTGGAGCAAGAGGAAGAGAGAGCAAAGGGGGAAGTGCTACTCACTTTCAAAACAACCAGATCTCCTGAGACTCACTCACTATCATGAGAACAGCAACGGGGAAATCTGCCTACATGATCCAATCGCCTCCCACAAGGTCCCTCCCCAAACATTGGGAGTTACAATTCAACATTAAATTTGGGTGGGAACACACAGCCAAACCATATCACCCAGGAAGCCTCAAGTTCCAATAAGCACACACCTTCCTTGTAAGGAAAATGATCCCAACACTTATTTCTTTCATAATGTTTCATGGCTCCTGCATTTTGATTTATTGGTGAAAGCAATCTTGCTAGCTAGGCAACAGAAGACTGAGTGAGAAAGCAGTGTAGAGGCCTGGCAGGCACATGGAGGCAGAACCTACCTGGCTGGAATTCAGTTCAGTGGGAGTGCTCTATTTACAGTGACAGAAAACAACCAATCAAATCATCTTCAGGAGAATTCTGCTAGCAGATGTTACTCTATGAACCCAGGTACAGAGACTATATCCAAATGTTCAGTTGAAGACCCTCCATGTCCTGACAACAAATCTCTATCCCAAAAGTCCATCTGTTAGTCTTGTCTCATCAACCTTAGCCTGATTGGAATGTTCCAAAACATTTTCCAATCATTACACAGGTAACATTTATTAACTGAGCATCTATTTACAGTACTGTTGATAGCAATAGGAGGCAGACAAATTCCTAGGCAGACAGGAACGGGTTCCCAGTGAAACTCGACCTTCAAGCCAAGGACATTTTGAAGTCTGAACACCAAACTATCAGTTCCAGATGGAGTCCAGTGACCAGAGTGACAATGTCCATTCTCGTTCAGTACACTTGGCCCCTGATTGGTCCCAGGCCAAGGCTTCACTTCAGCTCCTGATTGGTCCCAGGCCAAGCCTTCACTTCAGCCCCCAATTGGTTCTTTACACTATCATCTCTCTTTCTGAATGGTGATCTTCTCAAGCCTATCCATAAACCAATCAGCACATATTTGACCATTCTAAGCCCATAAAAACCCCAGACTCAGGCTTGCAGCCAGCAACCCATTTTTGGGTCCCCTCTCGCTGCTGAGAGCTTTCCTTCTGTTGCTCAATAAAATTCTACTCTGACTTACTCATTCTCCAGTGTCTGTGTACCTCATTCCTTTTGGTCATAAGACAAGAACTCAGAACTCACCAAACTGTGAGAGTAAAATAGCTGTAACACTCCCTCCTGCTCGCCAAACTCTGGGAGAAAAGAAGCTGTAACATTTCAACAGGTACTGAAGAATAAGTTCATATATATGAGGAACTAAAAGAGATACCAAGCAAGGCAGTAACTGAATCATGCAAGAAGTGTTAAAGAAAAAATTATTCCGATCCTTGTTTAAATAGTAAAAAAGACTATTGTGATAGGTGTCAAGACAATTGCATGGGGAAAGAAAGATTAGGGTCAACTCAGGATACAAAGAACAAGTGAGGACTTATAGACAGAAGCAGGCTGGGGGATTGGTGGATGGAAAATTACTAACAGGAGACATCAAGGCTAGAAGGAATTCTTGCTAAGCGGACATAACATGATTCTTACTGAGGCAGGCAGGGTGATCAGACATCAGGGTGAGGGGATTCTCTCTAGACTGACTAAGCAAGACTCTTGCTAAAACTGGTCTGTGCAGCGCTGTCAAGGATGGGGGCCAAGGGTGACGCCTACTTAAGAAGAGGGCCTGGAGGAGCCTGACAAAGTTTGGTCATGGAGATAGTCTTGTCAGAAGTCAGAAAAGTTTCCTGGTATAGATGGGGCTTGAGTTAAACCTTGAAGATGGGATCAGTTGTAGGCATGTCAAAAGGAGACACAAGTCACTTAAGCGTGAAGGGGTCTATCATGAACAAAGTTGCAGAAGTGAGGCAGCAAAGCACATTTAAAGCCTGGAGAGCAGAAACAAAGGAAGCAGTAAGGATATGGGGAAAGACAGCAGACTCCAGAGGGATGTGGATGCTGGGTCTGCTGCAAAATTAATCCAGTTAAGTAATGTGATATTTGATCTTGCTGGACATCAATCCACGTTTGTATTACTACATTTTTTAAAGTAGAGCTTTGAATGAAGATAATTAAGAACCAGTGAAGTAAAAGCTAACAATCAACAATGTTCACCTAAAGAAGTTAAAAATACATTTTTAATCCTACCCAATAAAGGTCAATTAACTGAGTTTTTAAGTCCACTACATAAACCTCAGAACAGACTATAACGTTAATATACTTAAAAGATAAGTATACTAAAAAGTTAGAATTCCAAGACCAAGACTTCACTATTATAGTTATACATACATACTACAAAATCTGGTAGCAAATCTTCATTGTAATTATTTGAAAACCTGAATACACAATTTGTTAAAAACATCTAAGCTACTTTCAGGGCTTTACAAGCAATTACATGTGTGTTCATCACCATCAAACAGGACATTAGCATCCCTTTTCTATAGAGCAATCTGCTTTGCTGCGTTTAGTGCTACAAAGTAAGGCCAACTGGCAAGGTCTTAACCAAGAAGCGATTCAGTAATGTTAAACCTCAGCTACCAAATCTAGCATCTAATAAAAAAATCTAATTTCCTTTTACGTGAGAAAAAAGAATTTGGCCACTTTGAGGAAAATTCATGTTTATATGGCTTTTCCTTGGATAGATGCCTTTCACACAAGTTGGCTTCAATAAACACTTCAGAAGTGAATGAAGTCCAACTATCTCAAATGAGGACTAAAACAGCAAACAACTACAAAGGACAGATTACATCAGCTTTCTCTGTTCATAGGACCATTCATAAAATAAGTAAGCAATCACCTAAGTCAGCCAGGCGCAGAGGATCATGCCTGTAATCCCAGCACTTTGGGAGGCCAAGGTGGATGGATCGCCTGAGGTCAGGAGTCCAAGACCAGCCTGGCCAACATAGCAAAACCCCGTCTCTACTAAAAATACAAAAATTAGCTAGGTGTGGTGGCACATGCCTGTAATTCCAGCTACTCGGGAGGCTGAGGCAGGAGAATCGCTTAAACCCAGGAGGCGGAGGTTGCAGTGAGCTGAGATGGTGCCAATGTATTCCAGCCTGCGTGACAGAATGAGGGCTCAGTCAAAAAAAAAAAGAAAGAAAAGAGAAAGAAATCACAGAAGTCAGCTTTCCTAAATGTTTCTCCTTTGTGTGTGTGTCAATCCTTACAGTCACTAATAAAAAGCATTCTGATATGCTTTTCACTTAAGTTGAAAATGAGTGTTAGAAGAATAAACTACCTAGCTTCAGGGGCAACATATACTCAAAAGCAGTTAGATATGTGCTCAGTTTTCACCCAAAATGAGCAATGAATACAATTGGCATGACTCTTCTCCAACTGAAACAGATGGGAAATCAGTAGTCATCCTTCCATAATAGCACCTTAGATACAAATGCTAGCCCAGAAAATAAATAGGACTTTGGCTTGTATAATATATTAGCTTATAAAAAGAAGTGTTTTAAGAGTAGCATATCTGTAAATTAGGTAAATTGAATATAAATGTCTAAATTTTTGTATGTAAAATATCTGCAAACAAAGGTTTTAATCACTGATTAGTAACTGTCTACCATTTGCCTCTTAACATTAACTCTTTTGTTCAAAAAAGCCTGGAATGTAGCTATATAAAAATTACTATCAAAAATCGACACTATAAAAGTAATGTCCTGTGTCCATGGTAGATAAGCAACTTAGTCTGCTTATAATACATAGGATTACCTTTCATTTTATCTTTGTTTTCAAATACACAAATTTTTAAAGGAAACATATCATTTATTGTCTTCGTTTTACCATGATTTTAAAAATCCAGACCACTAATTAGTCAGCTGAACTCACAGATTTTGAATCTAAGTGAGAGAACACAATTGCTTAGTTGTCAAATATGCATCCAATCGGTATACTATAAAAATCACCAATTTTGAGTGACTAAAAAGAAAATACAAATTATATCGGATATTCGAAAAAAGAGGACAATTCACTCATTTCAGATAATGGAATGGCTCCAACTCTGAAGTACAGTAAGAAAGTGGCAGATGAGAAACTGAGACGCCCAACTTTTCAGTGCAGCTGTTACCAATGACATACGTAAACACAGGGCCATCATTCATCCTGCCAACTCTGCTTTCTCCAACTTTCAAAAATAATCGCTGCTACCTCTCTGAACTTTCTTTGTAATATACACACACCCACACTCACACACATGTGCACAAATATATATAAATCCAGGAAAAGTTTTTGAAAAGTAGAAAGAGAAACATAACTATACATGCTGATCATTAAGTGTCTCCTAATATTATCTCTAAATAGAGATCTGGCTGCGCCAGCTACAATAATTACATTTACAACTATAAACATCCTCTACAAAACCACGTTTATTGGATGAAATAACCTTAAATACAGTGGTTCTCTCCAGGTCTTACTAATTAAACGAGCCCTTTTTTAACAGAGGGTCAATGGTAAGTTAGTCTAGGTCACATCAATCATCACAACAGTGATTAGCAATTTAAGAAAGTTGTATCTGACAGTTTATGTGAATAAATACGTGTAAACAATATAAATATACCTACGTAGATATGAATGTACAAGGAAGTGACTAAAAACATGAGAACAAAGATAATGAAAAATTGGCAAGAGTTTCAAAGGACACAACAGGTTGAGAGAATCAATGTCTCCCCAACTCAATTTTGAAAACTTAACTACATTCACAGCAAGAGCTGGGGATATACCTCAGGTGGAGGCTCAAGAGGGCTCAGATTCTGATTTACTCAAAAACGTATTAGAAAAAATTTTATTTTTTCAGGTATAGTTCTTACTATAATATTAGTTCCTATGTTATTTGTGAGAAGAATAAAAGGGTTGAAAGGTGCTGGCGAGTCAGGAGTTATGTTTGTCATATGCTTATATGGCAATGAATAAAAAGGTAGTAAGAGAAATGGAGCCCATCAAATCTTGGGCTGAAGTCCACATGAGAAGGCAGCAAAGGAATAGAAAACCTTGTCCAAAATAAATCTATCTGATAGAAAGGGAAGGTGAGCAGTGAGCGCTCTATTTCATGCAGGCACCTACTATACCAAAACTCACAAATCACTTAGGTGAAACAAGGGGGGAAAATAGCTATGATTTCACTGTGGAATTGACTAGAACAGTGGAGAATATTAATAATAAATGACTAGAGAGAAAAAACAGCATGGATACAGAGGGAAAATAAGAGAATTATGCAAGAAATTGGCTATGTACCCTACAGTTAATTATTAACAAGGAAGGTATAAGGTACATGGATGTGCTTTGGTCAAGAAATAGGCCAAGGCAGACATCCAGGCCTGCATGACTCAGTGAGTTTAGGATGCAGGCACATACTCCACTTGTTAAATAACCTGTTTGTGTAAGTTCATACTTGGCTGTAAGCCATTATTTATTGTCTGTTAAAGGTATAATTGCCCTGCTGACACTGTGCATGGGGGGCTTGGTTTAGCATGGGTCAGTATGGCATGGCATGGCTTGGCTATTGCACCTAGAGAAAAAGAGAGTACCGGAGTTGTCCATCTTGCAGATGGACAGAGGGGAGCCAGGGTACTACATGGCTCGACATGGCTCACACTCATGCCCAGAGGGAAGGAGTTAAGCTGCTGACACTGCAGGCAAGGGAGAGCTGGCCGTGCAGCTGTGTGTGGGAGCAGCCAGAGCGGCAGAGCTGGCTGCTGAGAGGAGCTGTGGAGCCGGAGCAGACAACCAAGATAAAGGCGGACAGTGTGAGAGAGCTGTTGATGAGAGAGCTGCTGAATAAAACCATATTCCCCTGCCTATGGCCCCCCGAGTGTTCTTTCAGCTATCTGCCCATCTACCCACTCCCCTCGGACCTCGGCTGGGGCTCAAACCTGACCCTGGACCTTACAATTGGCATAGTCATGGCATGACAGAAGGGTAGGGTAAGAATAGATTTCAAGAAAGCAGATTTTGAAGTTTTACAAAAAATGGTAAAAGTTAAGAACTCAGCTCTGGAGTTGGACTAACTGGATCTGAATTCTGGCCCTGGAACTTAGCTGTGTGATTGTAGGCAAATTACTCAAACTTTATGGGTCTCAGTTTCTTCACCCGTAAAATAAGGGAAATTGTATTATCTCAAATCTCTTCTAGGATTGTTATAAGAAACGAAAAAGAAGTAGCTGATATTCATTGAACATTTATGTGAGACAATGTTCTAAACACTAAATGTATTTGCTTACATACATTCTTCACAGCTGTATGAAATCAATTCTATTATTAACCCTGTTTTCACAGGTGAAAAAAATGGAGTGTTCAATAAATAGTAGCTTTATTTCATAACTCTAAATTACAAAGAGAGAAGTGGTATCAAGGAAGAAAATTCACAAAAAAAGAGATGTCATTAAAAAAAATCACAACTAGTATCAATGAAGAAAATGGAGCAAAGAAGAAAAACAAATGTGCTACACAGAGAGTTCCATGATGTACCTGAATTTCAAAAGAACATGAATAAAAATAAAAGATATTTAAGAAGGATAATTTTCTTATACGTCTAGATCCTAAATGAGATGAAGCCGACAATAAAAAGAGCTATTTCATATCTACACATTATTAGAAAAAGAAACAGGAAGACCAATTACATGGAGCATATGAAATAAAGTTCAAGTGACAGAGAAAATAGAGCTCCTCAGATTTCTCCATCAAGAATATACTTCAAGTGTTTCCTTAATAACTTTTTCTCTTTCTACTGACTCCTTTGTCATAGTCTATATACATACTCGATTATTCCCCATTTAGTTTAAAACTGAAACAACACAAAACACTTCTCCCCTTTCTTCTAGTTCTCTTTTCTTTCCCTGCCTCACTGCTAAAAAGAGTAGCTTATATGTATTTTACCCTACATTTTTTCATCCCCCATTCTCTCTTCAACACAAAATAATTAGTATCCATCCCCACCAGTCCCTTAACATTCTTAAAAAAAAAAAAAACCTTCCTAGTTGTAAAATGTAATAAATTACTTTCAGGATTCATTGATTTGACTTTTCTGAATATCTGACATCATCGTCCATGCTCTTTGAAACTCTCTTTCTTCCTTGGTACTTTGCTGGTTTTCTCGCCACCTCTCTAGACAATCTCTCCTCTGTTCTTCACTTCTCTCTTTGCCCAGCTCTAAATATTGGTGGTCTGTTATTTCATCCCTTCTGTTTCACTGAGATGATACACATTCTTTTAATTTAATAATCCTTTATGCTCTGCTTTGGGCACAGTTCCAGGTGCCCTCAACTCTCCAGCACTTAGCCATGAAACTTTCTCAAGAACAAGTAGTAAAAAAAAAATAACTTTTTTTAATAAAAAAGTCACTGTTTAACCTAGACCATTGCTTTCTCATTAGGAATCTGGCTTCCTTTGGGACTCCCAGTAGGCCTCATTTGTAACACTACTTGTTTGGTTTCTCAATATCTCAATTTCCCTCTTCTTTCTCCTAAGAGGTTTGATGAGACATACAACAAAAGCCCTTGGTTCCTCTCTTGCTTCCCCAGGGGCTTGTCTTTCAATACCTATGCTGACTGCTAAGCTGCATGAGAATTCACTCTCCTGTCTCACCCATCAGGCCAATTAGGAATGACTTCTACCTTATTCTCTGTTGGGTTACAACAGGTCTTTCAACTATTAACCAAAGTGCCTGATGTTTACAATTTTCCCTCAGCTCAGACAATGCTTGCAGATCTCTAGGATCATTAAGTCCCTGAAAACAGAGATAGTTAAAAACACAGCAATCCCAAAGAGACCCTTCTGAACTAGAGACAGATATCTTTTAAAAATTCAAAGAATTTGTTTATACAGGCAAATGTTATGTCTGTTTCCTCAGAACTCTAGAAGGAAGGGAAAACATATTTGCTCAAGAATCAACCATTAAGCATAAAAAAAAGTCTTACGCCTGAAATCTTTAAAATAATTTCCTTTCTGTCAGATCATCTCCCCAACATCAACAGTGTCTACCATACAATCTTGCACTGAATTACTCTATGCAAATTGCAATCCTAGATTTTTAAGGTACCTGCCATCTCTCCATTGTTACAATTCCTACTAGTAGTACAGTATACTTCCTTTGTATGAGCCAGTGCTAAATAGACTGGGAGCATTTGACTAAAACTCACTGACACCGCAACCTGTTAGCTTTGAGCTCTAACAGCACCTAATTTCACCCAAACCCCACCTTGTTAATTCTTTCACATTTCCAGCATTTCAGCTATCTTGAATTACTCTAAGCCTAACATTTATGTTACGAGTAGTAAGGCACCTGAGTAGGTCATTTGAATTTTAGATTGATTAGTTCCTATTTCACAAAAATCATGTCTAATTGCCAGACCTTTCTGTCTAAGAACTGTACATAAAGTTCATTAACCTCCCACGAAACTTTTAAAATCAATTCACAAATCTGCATTACAGATTCAACAGCACTCATAAACTGTTCAAAAATGCTCCCACAGATTCACTGACATTAATGGCTCTAAATACTCAGTTGGATCCCACAATAACATATTCCAATCAAATTTCGGTTTTTGGCAAAATATTTTACCAAGTTCCAGAAAAATAAAAATTATATAATATGATCATATAATTTATCATCCAAATGGGACAGTATTCAGAGTAAAAAGAGCACTATTAATAATCATGAAAATGACAAGCATAAACCAGAACTGTGCCAGGTACACTAGGACAGAAGGGCCCCCTCTATACAAAGCCATTTATACTAAACAGAACCTTTTTTTAAATGTATACTTTAAGTTCTAAGGTACATGTGCACAACATGCAGGTTTGTTACATATGTATACATGTGCTGTGTTGGTTTGCTGCACCCATTAACTCATCGTTCACATTAGGTATTTCTCCTAATGCTATCCCTCCCCCATCCCCCCACCCCACGACAGGCCCCAGTGTGTGATGTTCCCCACCCTGTGTCTTTATTGTTCTCAAGGAGAGATCTAAAATCTAATGAAATTAACCCAAAAAGGAGTCAGCAAATATATGTTCAGAACAGATAGCTGAGAGAACTGTGTACAAAGATGAGACCAAAGATTTAATTCAGCCTAGAATAAAAACCAAACTCTATACGGGGTTTTAAAACACGGCCCCCAAATTCATTGACACTCCTCATTGAGAGGTGTGGTCTATGGCCCCTACGCTTGGATCTGGTCTCTTTGAACACTTGATCAAGAGTAGGTGAAAGGAGCACTGTGCCAGTTCTGGGTCCAGGCCTTGAAATATTGGCAGCTTCCACTTTGTTTACTTTGGCAGTACTGATCAGATCATCGAATCCTTAGTGATATCTCTGCCTGCTTAATCTGTCAATTACCGACAAAGTGGTGTTGAAGTCACAACCACCATAGTGGATTTGTCCATTTCACCTTTCAGTTCTATCAATTTTTGCCTCACGTATTTTGACACTCTGTTGTTTGGTGTGTATACAATAAAGTTGGTTGTCTTCTTGGAGAACTAAGCTCTTTATCATCATGTAATGCCTCTCTTTAATCTTGATGATCTTCTGAATCATCAGAAGTACTTGCTTTGTCTGAAATTAACACGGCTACTGCAGCTATGTTAATTTTTTAAGACAGGGTCTCACTCTCTTGCCCAGGCTGGAGTGCAGTGGTACTCACTGCAACCTCTGCCTCCGGGTTCAAGCAATTCTTCTGCCTCAGCCTCTTGAGTAGCTGGGATTACAGGTACATGTGCCACCATGCCTGGCTAATTTTTGTGTTTTTTGTTAGAGACAGGGTTTCCCCCTGTTGCCCAGGCTGGTCTCAAACTCCTGATCTCAAGTAATCTGCCCGCCTCAGCCTCCCAAAGTGCTAGGATTATAAGGGTGAGCCACCACACCGGGCCTTCCAGCTATCTTTTAATTTGCGTTAACATGGCATATATTTCTCTATCTTTTTGCTTTCAATCTGCACCTTTGTATTTAAAGGATAGTTCATAGATAAAATATAGTTGGGTCTTGTTTTTTTATCCACCCTGACAATCTCTGTCTTTTAATTGGTATCTTTAGACCAATTACATTTTAAGTGATTTTGATATGTCTGTATTAATATCTGTCACGTTTGTAACTTATCTGTTCATTGTTTTTGTGCTCTCTCACTTTTCACATACCCCCTTGATTCAGTAGGAGGAAAGGAGAGGACCCTATCCCAGAGAGAGCAAAAATTCACACCTACTTACAACTTGAGGGAGGGTGCCAAACCCTGGAGGGACTCAGATGTGACCCACCAGCAGATCCCAGTACAATGAGAAAACTATGAGTCCTACCATACCTCAAAAAATAAAATAAAATTAGCTCCTTCATTTGGTATAAAACACACCAAGCTCTTTCTCACCTCAGGGCCTGGCATGAAACACTCTTGTGCCTGCTCTTTACCTGCCTGGTGACATCTCCTCCTTCAGACCTATGCATAAATGTCCTCTCCTCAACAAGGCTTCCATTTCCATCCATCCAATGTATATTTACTATCTATACCCCTCTCTTATGCAAATATACATAACCCACTACTCTCGGTCTTAATTCTTCCTCAGCTCTCTTTTCCTTTACATAATTTACAATTACAGATTCTGTCTGCTGACTTGATTAATTTCTGCCTCCCTCACTGGATAATATGCTTAATAAAAACAGGGGACCTGTCAATTTTGTTCACCACTACACACCTATTGCCTGGCCCACTCAGCCCACAGAACACAGTAGAGAGTTACTACAACCTCAAAAGGAATGCACTATCTTAAACAGACACTGCCTCCATGCATTTCTTAAGACCAGGGTTTCTCAATCTCAGCACTAATGTCATTTTGGGCCAAATAATTCTTTGTTGCAGGAGACTGTCCTGTTCATTCATAGGATATTCCGCAGCATCTCTGGCCTCTACCCACTACATGCCAGTGACACCACCACTCCTCAAGTTGTGAAAGCCAAAAATGTCTCCAGACACCAACAAATATATCCTGGCAAACAAAATTATCCCTAGTTGAGAACCACTGGTTTAGACTAGAAATGCTCCTTCCCTACCATCCTGGTTTAAACAAAAGGATGACAGTAACAATAAAGCAGCTCAGGAACATGGGTATGCTTTAACCTGAAGTCAATTATATCCTTCCCCAAGTCCTCCTCAAAAACCACTTTGGGAGAGGGGTTTTAGGAGTCCTCACATAATGACTTTCAATTATTTCAGTAATTGAACATTTCTACACTAACTCTTTAAAAAAAAAAAAACCCCAAAGAGTGCCTCCATTTCCACCAGATGGGCATAGCTGACATATGACCACAATTTTAACAACAGCAAATATCACTGATTGTATTGAGCGTCTCCTGTCCAAATGATCAAAGAACCTGATAATAAACATGGCTAAGAGAGGCCAATACGTTTAAACACTGTCTAATAGGAAAGTTATTCCAGTACAATTTAGTCTAATAATTAAAATCATCTTCTTGCTTAAACAATATCCTCACTGTCACTTTCATCAAAAAGATTAAGCATTGTTTGTTTATCTGCTGCAAGCTAAATGAAACCAGCTGTACCAATGAACCAGACTCTAATGTCTGCATTCTTCCTCTAAAGGACGTCAGGGCTGAATCTGCAATTTGAGTAGGATTTAGGGTTTAAAAATAAAATAAAATTAGCAGATGTTGGTGGGTGGGCTATTATCCTCCTTGGACTAGCTAAGGATAGGAACCCTACTTTTCAAACTTTCACCTATACACAGATCTGAAGGAACACAGATCGGAAAATCCCATATTGTGAACTGCATTTACTCTGTTAGCTTTTCTTCCCTCAGTTTATCCTGTTATACATTGTAATGCTGTATTTTGTTCATTAAATTATAAAACTAACACTGATTGTATTATACTGTGATGTTATTTTCATTGATTAAATAGTGCAGTTACAGGCTTGATCTTTGAAGTGAGCTGTAATAATAAGCTTTGGTCCAAGAGCCCAAAGTCTAAAAGAAGTCAGAGCAGACCTAAGGAGAAACAGCATGGGCCTCGGGAGCATCCTACAGCAGAGCTTGTAAAATGTAATCAGACTAGTGTCTCTTTGTAGAAAGCTCCCATTTGTGGGCAGGTAACCTCTCAGGACTCTGAAGTCCACATGACAGTCTAGGTGTCAACACTTAAGATTGCAGCTTCAATGAACCAGGAATCCAGTGTTTTCCATCTGGGGATTACTGACTTCTAGAATTCTTCAAACTCCTCCTGATAGTGTTTCAATGAACTTGACCTTTAGTGCAAGCAGTAAGAACTGCATCTTTAATCTCACATATTGTGAAAAGGTGGTTAACTGCTGCTGCCTTTCTTCTTGCGCTGCTGCTTGTTTTAATTAATAGCATTTCTTCCCCCCTATTTCTCCTGGGGTTTTGAAGAGCTCTTTGAACTGTATTTAGTATATTTCAGTCTTGGTTTGGTGTAGTCTCTCAATTTATAAGGTCGTTTAATTCAAGTTCAATTATTCTGCACAAATTGGCAGGATGAAATGCTAAAAGAAGATTGGCACTTTCAATCACATAAATCTCATGTCACATAAAGTGAGCAAATTCCTTCATTGTTCTCATTGACCTCTGAGATAACAATTTATGGCTGGCACAAACCAGTGTGGGCAGGCTTTTCTTTGGCAGGCTCCTGCAGAAGTAATGCTTTGGCATCTTCACCTCAACAGAAACTGAACATAAGCAGAGAAAGTGACCAGAGATCAGGATCATCTGTGGGACAACTTAGTCTGAATACTCCAATTCTAGAAGCAGAACAAAGAGCAAGCTGTTTTTCCTCTAAATGGCATGTGAAGTCTGAGAAAATCAAAAGCAGCTATAGACTCACATACCCCCTAGATTCAGTAGGAAAGAAAGGAGAGGACCCTGCCCCAGGGAGAGCAAAGACTCATACCCACTCACTACTTGAGGTAGGGTGCAGAACCTGGGGGACTCAGGTGTGATCTACCAGCAGATCAAAGTACATTGAGGAGAATATGGGTCCCACTATGTCTCAACTTTGGGTCTTGAGGTTGTGAGAGGTAGTAGCTCTTATTTTCAACAACCAGGTATTCATGGGTGCCCTTGCATAAGCAAACCACCAATCCTCCCAGATCATATTGCTTAAAGCCAATTCCACTTCAATACTCAAACAAAACACTTTTGCTTAACCAAAACTACCACAATAATCAAAGTGAATCTGTTTACTTTTAGCTTAAGGCCCTCAAAGTTCAACAAATTTAGTGGAGAGTCTGATAACCAATGAGTGAATATCTCATTATATTTGCTTGGGGGGAAGGAGTAAGCCCCAAAAGGGAACAGTGCCAAGGATTCCACAAAGACACATAGTGATGAGGGAAGCTTGATTTAAAAGCACACAAAGATGTGGCTTCTAAACTCAATCAGTGGCCACTGGAGAGAAAACATTTAAAATACTTTAGTCAACATCATCCTCTCTTCATTCCCTTTGAAACCCCACACCATTTTACCTGGATGTTTTTGTTTTACGATTTTTTTTTTTTTTTTTAGACAGAGTCTCGCTCTGTCACCCAGGCTGGAGTGCAATAGTGCAATCTCGACTCACTGCAACCTCTGCCTCCCGGGTTTGAGTGACTCTCGTGCCTCAGCCTTCCGAGTAGCTGGGATTGTAAGTGCATGCCACCACACCCAGCTGATTTTTCTATTTTTAAGAGGGACAGGCTTTCACCATGTTGGCCAGGCTGGTCTCGAACTCCTGGCCTCAGGTGATCCACCCGCCTTGCCCTTGCAAAGTGCTGGGATAGCAGGCACGAGCCACTGTGTACCTGGGCCTTTCTCACTACGTTCTAGCTTATATAGAATATAGTATTGATACATCTTCATTTATATAGAATTACTTATGTATTTGTACCATCTCCCTTCAAGATTAAGTTTCCCGAGGGCAGAATCCTCATCTGAGTCACCTCTTTTTCACCGACAGCATAAAAAAGGCATAATTATAAACAATACAATGAATATTCATCACTAGTTGAATAAGTTCAAAAAATATTAACACATCTCTGAATATACAGAAGTCCTTGGTAAACTGAGAGGTAAAAAGATGATTTCAAGGTGCTGAATTAAAGACATTTTAAAATGCCATATATTTTAATTTTCCAAAGTATTATACGATGCATAATTTTTTAATCCTATATTAAATGCTACAGGAATTTAGAAGAGAGAACATAATCAGAAAACCAAACCAGAAGAGAGATCAGCAGTCAGCAGTCAGAAGTAATGATAACTGCCACCCCCCATCTAAACATAAAAACAGAGAGAGAGAGAGAGAGACAAAGAGACAGTGAAAGACAAAGACAGAGAGAGAGACAGAGAAGAAATCTGGAGAACACTGATCAAAAAACAAAAACTTTCTACTCAAATATGAGAATGTGGTAAGTTCAAAGCTTTTTCTTAAAAGCATATTTGTGAGTTTTGTATGTTGATGTGAACAGGGTTAACCAGCCATTTGTTAGAAGCCAAGCTCACTACAAAGCAGACTACCTGTATAGGAATCTCAGTTAACTTCTCTCCAGTGTATGTGTTCCTACATGGATAAGAGATCCAAAAGAATCAAGAATAATTAAAAACACTTTCTATTCCTCCTCAAGCTTCTAAACTATGCCTAATAGCAACTACTCCACAATCAAGAATTACACACACCCACTGGGCATGGTTGCTCATGTCTGTAATCCCAACATTTTGGGAAGCCGAGGTGGGTGGATCACTTTAGTTCAGGAGTTCGAGACCAGTCTGGGCAACATGGCAAAACCCCGTCTCTACAAAAAAATATGAAAATTAGCTGGGTGTGGTGGCACGTGCCTGTAGTCCCAGCTACTCGGGGGTGCTGAGGCATGAGAATCGGTTAAGCCTCAGCGGCAGAGGTTGCAGTGAGCCAAGACTGCATGCACCACCGCACTCCAGCCTGGGCGACAGAGTGAGACCCTGTCTCAAACAAAAAAAAAAAAAAGAATTACACAAATCTCTTGATGGGGCAAATAAATATCCTTTGTTTGTACTTTAAAAAGAACCAATAGGTAAAGGATGAATGACACGTATTACAGGCAGAAAAAGAACAACACTGTCATGAATGCAATGCCAAGTTAGTGAGGTTTGACACTAGTAAGTGTTATGGATTGAACTGTTCAAAAAGATATGTTGAAGTTCTAACCCCAAGCACCTCAGAATGCATTTTTTTTTGAAATGAGTCATTTATGGAGGCAATCAAATCAAAATGAGATCATTAGGGTGGACCTTAATCAAATATAACTCATGTCCTGACAGAAAGGGAAAACTTGGACACAGACACACACAGACACACACACACACACACACACACACACACACACACACACACTGGAAGAATGCCATGTGGAGAAGGCAACAAGAGGGGTGATGCACCTGCAAGCCAGGAATGCCCAAAATTGCCAGCACACCACCAGAAGCTAGGACAGAGGCATGGAACAGATTCTCCCTAACAATCCTCAGAAGGAACCTACCCTGCAGACACCTTGATTTCAGACTTCTAGCCTCTAGAACTGAGAAAGTACATGTAGCTTAAGCCACCCAGATTGTGGGACATTGTTATTTCAAGCCCTAGCAAACTAATACAATGAAGCTTATGGTAAAATCCAAACATGACACCTGTAAACCAACACATATGTGTAAAATGCTCACAAACTGAAAATCACAAGTATCTCTACAAATGCCAGACAGCTTCACTGCAAGATAATGAGAGCTGTTTCTGGGGAGGATGCAAAAGATTATGTTTAAAGATGGCAGGTGGGATGCAGACATTTATGAGAGAATGGTGAGGAGTATTGGAACAGGGATCCCAACAATTAGTTGGCTATTTAAATTATATAGCACTATAGGGACACACCAAACTTAGCTCTCAAGTCCTGCTATATGACATGTAGCTGTTATTCTTCAGCCTGACTTAGCCACCTTAAAGCAAGCAAAGCCAGGGAGCCTGTCATCTCTTAAAGCAGGTAACTAGGCAATGGCTTTCCTCTCCACCTGGAGGAAAGGAAGTACTACATGTGACCAGGAGGCTTGAAACTGCTCAAGAAATGCTAACAAGATAAATTAATACCTACTAGAGTGAAAACTATTAACCGTCCAGAACAATCTTTCTCAAAGATTATAGGTACTTTTAAAGTCTTTCTTTTATTCAGGCATAATAAATGAAAAATTCTTCAACTATCTCCAAGATTTTGAAATAAATCTTCAAGATAAAAATTTAATAGAGTTATTAACACATCTGGAGATCAGCTGAGCACATCTTCAATGGATAGGAACTTCCAAGTGGTTCGTTTTCTTATAAAGAAATAGTGTTTGCTTCTATTTGAGTCATAATTAAAACAAGTCAGAGTATATGTGAGAACTATTTGGAATATTCAGAGAGGATCACATCTTTCCAAGGTCTTGCACTATGGAAGCAGTAATGGTGTACTGATTAGGAAAATGATAGCTTCAAGCCACCAGATGGGAATGAGCTAAACAAACTTTGCCACTAACTACCTGTGTGAACATAGGCAAGATGCTAAACCTCTCTAAGCCCTAAGATTCCTGACTGTTAAATGAAGATGACAATAATGGGACCCACCTCATACGGCATTGTGAGGAGTAAATGAGACAAAGGGATGTACTATATTGTACACAAAATAATTGCTTAATAAAGGGTAGTTATCATGTTATTGACACTAAATTTAGTACAAGTAATTTTTATATGGTAAAGTACTGCTATTTTTCTTTAGGAAAGAAAATTAAAATATGGGGCACAACCCCTATTAAAATTAACTCAATCATTTAGACCATTACTTTGACATTCCAAAATTCTCAAGCAATATGGTTATTAACAGTCCTCTGGATTTTGTTTTTTATCCCTTATCATGCTGACTATTCATTCAAATTTTCTTAAAAAAATACTTTTTAAGTAATTTCAACTTTCATTTTAGATTACGGGGCTACATGTACAGGTTTATCATATTAGTATATTGCATGATTCTGAGGTATGGGATATGAATGATCCTGTCATGCAGGTAGTAAGTATAGTACCCAAAGGTTTTTCAACCCTTTTCCCCCTTCCTTAGCAACCCCACTCAGCAGTCTCCAGTGTCTATTGTTCCCAACTTATGTCCAAGTGTACCCAATGCTTAGCTCCCACTTACAAGTGAAAACATGCAATATTTGGTTTTCTGTTCCTGTGTTAATTCACTTAGGATAATGGCCTCCAGCTGCATCCATGATGCTGCAAAGAACACGATTTCATTCTTTTTAATGGCTGTGCAATATTCTGTGGTGTATATGTACCACATTTTTTTAATCCAATTCACTACTGATGGGCATGTAGGTTGACTCCACAGCTTTGCTATCGTGAATAGTGCTGTAATTAACATAAAACTGCATGTGTCTTTTTGGTAGAACAATTTCGTTTCTTTTGGATATATACCCAGTAATGAGACTGCTGGGATGAATGACAGTTCCTGTTTTAAGTTCTTTGAGAAATCTCCAAACTGATTTCCACAGTGGCTGAACTAATTTACATTCTCACCAGCAGTGTATAAGCGTTCCCTTTTCTACACAGCCTTCCCAGCACCTGTTTTTGACTTTTAATAATAGCCATTCTAACTGATTTGAGATGGTATCTCATTACGGTTTTGATTTGTATTTTTCTGATGATTAGTGAGTGGAGCATTTCTTCATGTTTGTTGGCCGCTTGAATGTCTTCTTTTGAGAAGTGTCTGTTTCTGTTCATGTATTTTGCTCACTTTTTATGGAGTTATTTGGTTATTGCTCGTTAAATTGTGTAAGTTCCTCAGAGATTCTAGATATCAGATCTTTGTCAGATACACAGTTTCTGAATATTTTCTCCCATTCTGTTTACTCTGTTGATAGTTTATTTTGCTGTGCAGAAACTCTTCAATTAGGTCCCACTTATCAATTTTGGCTTTTGTTGCAATTGCTTTTGTGAACTTAGTCATAAATCGTTTCCAAAGGCCGATGCTCAGACGATGTTTCCTAAATTTTCTTCTAGGATTCTTAGAGTTTCGAGGTCTTACGTTTAAATCTTCAATCCATCTTGAGTTAATTTTTATATATGGTGAAAGGGAGGGATCCACTTTCATTCTCCTGCATATGGACAGCCATCTATACAAGAAACATTTATTAAATAGGGAGTCCTTTCCCCATCACTTATTTTTGTTAACTTTGTCAAAGATCAGGTGGCTGTAGGTGTGTGGCTTTATTTCTGGGTTCTCTATTCTGTTCCTTTGGTCTATGTGTCTATTTTTGTACTAGTATCATGCTGTTTCAGTTACTGTAGCCTTATAATATAGTTTGAATTCAGGTAGTGTGACGCCTCTGTCTTGGTTCTTTTCCCTTAGGAATGCTTTGGATATTCAAGCTCTTCTTTGATTCCATATGAATGTTAGAATATGTTTTTCTAATTCTGTGAAAAACAACATTGGCAGTTTGATAGGAATAGCACTGCATCAATAGATTGCATTGGGCAGCATGGCCATTTTAACAATATTGATTCTTCCAATCCAAAAGCACGAAATGTTTTTCCATTTGTTTGTGTCATCTATGATTTCTTTCAGCAATGTTTTGTAGTACTCCTTGCAGAGATCTTTAACCTCCTTGGTTAGACATTTTCCTAGGCCTTTTAATTTTTTGTGGCTATTGTAAATGAAATTGCATTCTTGATTTAATTCTCAGCTTGAATGCTGCTGGTGTATAGAAATAATGCTGGATTTTATACATTGATTTTATATTCTGAAACTGTACTGAAGTCATTCATCAATTCCAGGAGCTTTTTGGCGGACTCTTTAGACTCTGTATAGAATCATATTGTCAGCAAAGATGGATAATTTCACTTGATTTCTTATTTGGATGCCTTTTATTTCTTTCTCTTGCCTGATTGCTCTGGCCAGGACTTCTGGTACTATGTTTTAATAGGAGCGGCGAGAGTGGGTATCCTTGTCTTTTTCCAGTTCTGTAGAGGAATGCTTCCAGCTGTTGTCAGTTCAGTATGATGTTAGCTGTGGGTTTGTCATAGGTGGCTCTTATTATTTTGAACTATGTTCCTTCAATGCCTAGCTTACTGAGGGTCTTTATCATGAAGGGATGTTGGATTTTATCAAAGCCTTTTTGCAAATCGACTGAGATGATCAAATGGTTTTTGTTCTTAATTCTGTTATGTGGTGAAGCACATGTATCGATTTGTGAATTCTGAACCAACCTTGCATCCCAGGAATGAAGCCTACTTGATTGTGGTGAATGATCTTTTTGATGTGCTGCTGGATTTGGTTTGCTGGTATTTTGTTTAGGATTTTTGTTCATCAGGCATATTGGCTTTTAGTTTTCTGTTTTCATTGTTTCTTTCCTAGTTGTTCATATCAGGATGATGCTGGCTTCATCATCCTCGATGATAAGGCGGTGTCCATCTTCCTCAATTTTTTGCAATAGTTTCAGTAGAATTGATACCATCTCTTCTCTGCACTTCTGGTAGAACTTGGCTATGAGACAATCTAGTCCTGGGCTTTTTTTGATTGGTAGGTTTTTATTATTAATTCAATTGTGGAACTTGATATTGGTCTGTTCAGAGTTTCCATTTCTTCCTGATGCAATATTGGGAGGTTATGTGTTCCAGAAATTTACCAATTTCCTCTAGATTTTCTACTTTGTATACATAGAGTTGTTCCTAATAGTCTCTGACAATCTTTTCTATCTCCATGGGATCAGCTGTAATGTCACCTTTGTCATTTCTGATTGTGTTAACTTGGATCTTCTCTCTTCCTTTAATTAGTGTTCTATTGATCTTTATCCTTTCAAAGAACCAACTTTTGATTTCATTTATTTTTAATATATTTTTAGGTCTCAATTCCAGTCAGTTCTGCATTGATTTTAGTTATGTTTTTTCTTCTTCTGGCTTTGGGGTTAGGTTGTTCTTGTTTTTCTAGTTCCTCTAGGAGTGATGTTAGTTAATTTAAGATCTTTCTAATTTTTTTAGGTAGCCATTTAGTGCTGTAAACTTTCCTCTTAACACTGTTTTTCCTGTATCCCAAGGATTTTGGTATGATTTGTCTCTGTTTTCATTTATGTCTAAGAATTTTTTGACTTCTGCTTTAATTGTTTAATCAAAAGTTATTCAGGAGGAAGTTGTTTAATTTCCATGTAATTGCAAAGTTTGGGGAAATCCTCTTGGTATTGATTCTTATTTTTATTCCACTGTGGTCTAAGAGTATGGATGGTATGACTTTGATTTTTTTTTTTAATTTACTGAGACTTGCTTTATGACTGAGCATGTGGTCATCTGTCCTAAATGCAAATGAGAAGAATGTATATTCTGTGGTTGATGAGTGGAATATCCTGTAGATGCCTATTAGGTCTAGTTGGTCAGGGGTAGAATTTAAGTCCAGAATTTCCTTGTTGGTCTTCTGCCTTGATGATCTGTCTAATGCTGTCAGTGCGTTGTGGAAGCCCCCACTATTATTGTGTGGCTAAGTCCTTTTGTAGGTCTACAAGTAATTGTTTCAGGAATCTGGTTGTTCCAATGTTGCATGCATATATATTTAGGATAGTTAAGTCTTCTTGTTGAATTGAACACTTTATCATTATGTAACGCCCTTCTTTCTCCTTTTTTATTGTTGTTGGCTTAAAGTCTGTTTTATCTGATATAAAAATAGTGACCCCTGCTCTTGTTTGTTTTCCATTTGAGTGATAGATCTTTCTCCAACCCTTTACTTTGAGCCTACTTGTGTAATCACATGTGAGATGGGTCTCCTGAAAACAGCAGAGAGATAGGTCTTGTTTTTCTTTCCTTAATCCAACTTACAATTCTATGCCCTTTAAAAGTGTGAGGTTTAGTCAGTTTATATTCAAAGTTAATATTGATATATAGCATTTTGAGCCTATCATGAAGTTGTTACTTGGTTGCATTATAGTTTCTATTGTATAGTGCCTTTACAGAATCTGTGGGCCATGTACTTATGTGTGTTTTTGTGGTAGTGGGTATTGTTCTTACATTTCCATGTTTAGAACACCCTTAAGGATCTCTTGTAAGGCTGATCTAGTGGTAAGAAATTCCCTCAGCACTTGCTTGTCTGGAAAACATTTTATTACTCCTTTGCGTATGAGGCTTATCTTGGTGGGATATGAAATTCTTGGCCGAGATTTATTTTAAGAATGGTGAAAACAGGCCCCCAAACTCTCCTGGCTTGTAAGGTTTCTTCTGAGAAATCTGCTGTTAGCTTAATGGTGTTCCCTTTATATGTGATCTTGCTTTTTTCTTTCTAACATTTTTTCTTTAGCATTGACCTTAGACATCCTGGTGAGTAAGTCTTGGTGGTGTTCATTTTATATAGTATCTCCCAGATGTTCTCCAGATTTTTTGAATCTGGATATTCACCTCTCTAGCAAGGTTAGGGGATTTTTCTGGGATTATTCCCTCAAATATGTTTTCCAGGTTGTTTACCTTTTCTCTGTCTCACTTAGGAATGCCAATAATTTGAAGGTTTGATCACTTTACATTATCCCATATTTCTCAAAGATTTTGTTCATTTAAAAAAATATTATTTTTGTCTGGGTTAAGAAGATTGGTCTTCAAGCTCTGAAATTATTTCTTCCACTTGGTCTAAGATATTGAAGCTTTCAACTGTTTTCTTCTTTTCTTTTTTTTTCTTTTTTTTTGGAGACAGTCTCGCTCTGTTGCCCAGGCTGGAGTGCAGTGGTGTGATCTCAGCTCACTGCAACCTCCGCCTCGCAGGTTCAAGCTATTCTCATGCCTCAGCCTCTGGAGTAGCTGAGATTACAGGCATGTGCCACCACACCTAGCTAATTTTTCTGTTTTTAGTAGAGATGGGGTTTCATCATATTGGCCAGGCTGGTTTCAAACTCCTGACCTCAGATGATCCGCTCGCCTTGGCCTCCCAAAGTGCTGGGATTACAAGTGTGAGCCACCACGTCCGGCCTCAATTGTATTGAAATTCCTTAAGTGAGCTTTTCAATTCTAGAAACGCTGACTGATTTCCTTTTAAGATGTTATATCTCCTTCTTCATTTCCTGGATTGATTTAGAAGTTTCTTTGTGTAGATTTTGAATCATGTCTTGGATCTCACTAAGCTTCCTTGTAATCCATGCTTTCAATTATTTATCTGTCATTTCTGAGTTTCCATTTTGGTCAGGAATTATTGCTGGAGAGTTAGTGTGATCCTTCAGCGGTGCCAAGACATTCAGATTTTTCACAATAACAAAATTCTTTTGCTGGTTCCTTCTCATCTGGAGATGTTGGCACTATAATTTTTGTAATTATTTTTGTACAGATTGCATTTTTTCTTTTTCTTTCTCTGTAATATTATTGGTGTGTGTGTGTGTGTGTGTGTGTGTGTGTGTGTGTGTGTGTGTGTGTTTTCTTTCCCCTTCCCTTCTCCCCACTCCCTCTGTGTTGCAACTGCAGAGAATGCTGGGTAGGATCTTTTGGCTTTGCTTCTATAGCCCTATGCATTTCTATCAGCAGCTTTTACATACGGCTGTTTGGTTTGACCTACAGCCAGTAGATGGCACTTATCAGTAAGAACCTACTGCAGCCAATGTGTCTGGATATATACTTGATCCTTATTTATGGGGAGATGCTCTCTGTTGCCTTAGGCAATGGGCTGATCTGTGGAGCCCATAGTGTTCTGAGTTCCCTTCTCAGTCCTGGGGGCATGAGGCAAGATGGTCATCCCCTGATAGCAGGCACAAGCACCAGCACTGATGGAGAATCCAGTAGAAAGCCACCAAGCACCCAGAGTGTGCCTAAACATGAAGCTGGGAAACATCCTTAGCCCCAAGTCTCTGCAGAGGAAGTGGAGGCAGCCTAAACTCCTAATCCAGGAGTGTAAGTGCTCCAGATCCCTGGAGATTTGCTGGGGCATGGAGGAGAGAGGAACCTGCTACACCAGAGTTTTTGTGTAGAAAGGGTGAGGCAGCTTAAGCTGCCATTCCAGGTGAACTGGTGCTCCAAATGCCTGGAGATCTGCCTGGGTGTGGAGCAGAGGCCTAGCTGCACCATGGTCTCTGCACAGGAAGAGTGAGTGACTCAGGATGCTGAACAAAGTGAGCAGGTGCTCTAACTGCCTGGAGATCTGCCTGGATGTAAAGCAGAAAGGGCCCCTCCTGCACCTGGATGTCTGCAAAGGAAGGGTGGGGCAACTGAGGTTGCCAATCCAGATGAGGTGAGCAGGTGCTTTGAATGCTTGGAGATCTGACTGGGCATGGAGTGAAGAAGGCTCTGCTATACCAGGATCTCTGGACAGAAGGGGTGGGGCAGCTCAAGATATAGAACGAGGCAAGCGGGTGCTCCAAAGGCCTGGAGATCTGCCCGGGTGTGGAATGAAGAGGGCTCCCTGCACCATTTTTACAAACTTTTTTTTACAACTCTCAAAATTAATACTATTACTTTTGACTTCACAGTATTTTTGCCTTACATATCTTTCTTGATAAGGAATATTTCATCTTCTAAACTTAAGAAACATGAACAAACAGATATAAGACCACACTCCTGAAAATCCTAAGATTACCTAAATTAGCACATAATCAAAATTTCCAACTATGTCTTTGGAATGATCCTTCAGAGAATTTTTCTCTTCTACATCTTCTTATTTAATTACTTAAGTTACAATATTCTAATCTGGCTGGGTGCAGTGGTTCATGCCTGTAATCCCAACACTTTGGGTGGCCGAGGCCAGAGGATCACTTAAGCCCAGGAGTTTAAAACCAGCCTGGGCAATACAGGAAAATTCCGTTTCTGCAAAAGAGTTTTTTAAAAAAAATAGCCAGACATGATGGCATGGGCTTGTAGTCCCAGTTACTCAGGAGGCTAAGGCAAGAGGACTGTTTGAGCCCAGGAGGTTGAGGCTGCAATGAGCCGTTATCAAGCCACTGTACTCCAGCCTGGGCAACAGGGCGAAATGCTGTCTCAGACAAAAAAGTCCTATCTTCTATAAAGATTTTGAAAAGAGATAACAGGGACAGTATAGAAAATTATTTTGCAACATCATTTGGTAAAGTTATAAAGGTAAAACAAAGCTTGTGACTTCTGTGGTTGTTGCAGAGATTGCATTAAGTTATCTACAACTACATGTCACTAAATACAGTAACTCTCTGTCCTTAATTAATAAGGGAGAGTAAGGAGGTCAATCAGAAACACATGAGGACAAGCTTTTCAAGAATCCAAATCTGTGCCCTGACCCCCAGAGAGCAATGGAGAGAAAGAAGAAAAGGAGGAGACAGTTGTTTCTCGATATGAAAATATATGCAGCATGATGCCAAAGCAGACAGGAAGAAAGAAAAAGAAAAGTTTGCCATTTTGTTTAACTAAGAGACTTCTGAAAGATGGAGTAAAAGCTTAACTTAAAAAGACCCCAAGAATGGCCAATATATTTGGCATTGTCAAATCAATACTCCTATTCCCAACACTAAATCTCTATGAGAAATTAATCACATAATTCACCTGGAAATGAATTCTCATTAGACGGTTCCAACTCCTTTGAAAGAGAAAGCAGTGTTGTGGGGAGGCGCATTAAACAGAAAAATAAATTGAACAGTCTGAAAAACTGTTTACTAGCAGGGTACACCAATTCCAATGAGTTTTACACACTTGCCAAAAAAAAAAAAAAAAAAGGATACCGTGAGGGAGGAAAATCTATTGTATATTAAATAATAATTATTTAAATAAAATGCTATTTAGTAATAAGAGGGCAGATACACTGTACATGTGAAATATTCCAAAAATAATGAACTTACTTGCTTTTCCCTTTGTATACTGTAGCATAAGATCCTTCCCCTAGTTTTTCCAGCTTTTCATATGAGTCAGCTTTTCCAAATTTGGGACTTGTTGGCTAAAAATGAAGCACAGGGTAAACAAAACAGATTGTATCAAATTAATTAACAACAAATACCCTGATTTTGCTAAAAATGTACAGATTCTCTGTCACTTTTTAAATAACTGTTTTTTCTGGCATACATGTTTATTTTTCAAAACAACATAATAAACAGGATACAAAACTAAAAAAAAATGCAAATAAACACAATGTAGAACGAAATTATTCCCATAAGCTAACCAGGAAACCACTGTTAATATTTTGATAGCTGTTCTTCCAGTGCTATCTGTAAGCTGATGATTGCTTTCTTACATAAATGAAATTGCACTATATCTACTGTTTTTAAACCTGCCCCTCCCTTTTTTTATTCAATCAATTATGAACACTTTACATGTTATTATACCATCTTCTAAATTAGGAGCTGGCAAACTGTGGCCCATGGGTCAAATCCAGCCCACCACCTGTTTTTGTATATCCCATAAGTTTAGAATAGTTTTTACCTTTTCTAATGGTTGAAGGAAGCAAAGCAAAACAAGAATAAAGTTTCATGATATGTGAAAATAATATGAAAATCAAATTTTAGTGTTCATAAAGTTTTACTGAAACACAGTCGTGGTCATTCACCTGCATATTGTTTCATGGTTTTCAAACTACAACACAGCTGTAGTTCCAATACAGATCATATGGCTGACAAAGCTGAAAATATTTACTGTATCCCATTGTAAATCATGATGGTATAATATTCAGTTATATAAAGGTACTCTTCTGATACCTTTTAGTGATAATTCAAACAGATAATCAGAAGATGTATCACTCAGCTATCACTAATACAAAATGGAACTCTCTTATATATACATAAATCAATCCTTAAGGTATAGCTGCCACAAAACAACTCTTAAGACAGGTCACTTCCCAACAGGACCAAAAAAAATGCTAAGAGAGAGTGACCTCATCAATCTTATTGTACTCAACTCCCACCCCAACTTTAACTATGGAACAAGAAAAGGGGAGTGTTGTCCTCCATGGTGGAGAAGCATTCACCTTCTATTTCAATAAGACATGATCTATTATTATACTGTTGCTATTATATAAAAGGGTAATACCAAAGCATATTAGAAAATGATAATTATATAAGGAATGAAAAATATCTTATTAAAGAGATTTATTCCAATATAAATATACATATAATTCATAAAAAGTTGCTAATATTTGTGGTACTTTATAAATAACCAACTTCAGAAGTTTAGAACTTGTATTCTTCAAGTTGGGCTTGAACACTACTTTTGAATATACACCTGTATCACTTATCAAAAAACACACAATATGTGGGCAATGATTCTGACTCCCACTATTTATTGGGATTTTATGTGGCCAGTTGAATACATGTTTCTTACTTTCTTCCCGCCCAAAATACCCATCATGACTTAAAAGTTATTTTTCAAAAACAATAAATCAGAATTAGAAGCAGAAAACAAAAAAGAGTGCCAATATCTAATCAGAAATTTTGAAGAATTCTGAAAGAAGGTAATCAGAATCAAAACTTCAGAGAAAAGCCTGACCATGTAGGGGAAGACTATTAAATAAAAGAAGCAAGAACCTCTAGGTGAACATGAGACTAATCAACACATAAACAGTTGAGACTGCAGTGTCCTCCCAAGCAAGCTGTGGAGGCATCTGCACAGGAGACAGCTTAGAGTGTGGTATCTGAGCAGAGCAAGGACTCAAATAGCCAATACCCAGAGAAAAAGCAATGTCTCCCCATCCCCCAAGCTGTAATCCCTTTCACACAATCAGTAGAGAAAATTTACAGAAAATAAAATAAGCTGACAGTGATTCTCAAGTACAAATATGAGTATACAACCAAAAATCACAAATCATTTTAGGAAAATCAATATCCTGAAAGAGATGGATAAAATTCAGTGGGCAGATAAGCTAAAACCTTGGAAGGCAAGTTAACACTGCAAAGGTAAGGATAACTTTAAATAGGCTGAGCACGGTGGCTCACACCTGTAATCCCAGCACTTTGGGAGGCAGAGGCAGGCAGATAACGAGGTCAAGAGATCGAGACCATCCTGGCCAACATGGTGAAACCCCATCTCTACTAAAAATACAAAAATTAGCTGGGCGTGGTGGCACAAGTCTGTAGTCCCAGCTACTCGGGAGGCTAAGGCAGGAGAACTGCTTGAACCTCAGAGGTTAAAAAAGTAATAAGCTCAATGGCTGAACAGAACTCTCCCAGAAAACTTCAGGGAGAGGTTACATCTAAATAGAAAAATTATTCAGCAAGCATATTGTCATAGATTGTAATCGGTGCAAAAAGACAGTTAAGCAATATTTTCAAAATTAAAAGGAAAAATAATTTTGCATAATTAATACTATACTCAAGACGGTCCCTCAAGTGAATTATGGAAACACAACAATTTTATTACCCACAGAAAAAAATCTAGACAAAAAATTATCTCAATATAAGATGTAGTTGGAGTGATGGGGGAAAAGGCAAGGAACAGTAGGAAAGGAGAAATAAAAGCACACTGAGCTTTCTTGAATAAATCAGAATATATTGCAGATACAGATTGAAACTCCAAATGCATATGTTTTAGGATGTTTCTTAACCTTTAAAAGGTAATCAGTAAATTGATATAAATAAGGTATACAAATCCCAAACAAATTGGGGAGAGGGGAATGGAAAAAAAATGCAATGAAAGAGGAAGAGGGTAAGGAGTGAGAGGTTAGAGGAGAAGGCATATTCAATAAGAAAGCATGCTAAGTAAAATTTTATAAAATAAGAATAAAGTTGAGGAGCCCCTCTGCCCGGCCAGCCGCCCCGTCCGGGAGGGAGGTGGGGGGGTCAGCCCCCGTCCGGGAGGGAGGTGGGGGCGTCAGCCCCCCGCCCGGCCAGCCGCCCCGTCCGGCAGGGAGGTGGGGGGGTCAGCCCCCTGCCCGGCCAGCCGCCCCGTCCGGGAGGTGAGGGGCGCCTCTGCCCGGCCGCCCCTACTGGGAAGTGAGGAGCCCCTCTGCCCGGCCAGCCGCCCCGTCCGGGAGGGAGGTGGGGGGGTCAGCCCCCGGCCCAGCCAGCCGCCCCATCCGGGAGGTGAGGGGCGCTTCTGCCCGGCCGCCCCTACTGGGAAGTGAGGAGCCCCTCTGCCCGGCCATGACCCTGTCTGGGAGGTCTACCCAACAGCTCATTGAGAACGGGCCATGATGACAATGGCGGTTTTGTGGAATAGAAAGGCGGGAAAAGTGGGGAAAAGATTGAGAAATCAGATGGTTGCCGTGTCTGTATAGAGAGAAGTAGACATGGGAGACTTTTCATTTTGTTCTGTACTAAGAAAAATTCTTCTGCCTTGGGATCCTGTTGATCTGTGACCTTACCCCCAACCCTGTGCTCTCTGAAACATGTGCTGTGTCCACTCAGGGTTAAATGGATTAAGGGCAGTGCAAGATGTGCTTTGTTAAACAGATGCTTGAAGGCAGCATGCTCCTTAAGAGTCATCACCACTCCCTAATCTTAAGTACCCAGGGACACAAACACTGCGGAAGGCCGCAGGGTCCTCTGCCTAGGAAACCAGAGACCTTTGTTCACTTGTTTATCTGCTAACCTTCCATCCACTATTGTCCTATGACCCTGCCAAATCCCCCTCTGCGAGAAACACCCAAGAATGATCAATAAAAATAAATAATTTAAAAAAAAAGAATAAAGTTAAATCCAAACATATCAATGATTACAATAAACATACACGAATCAACTTCCCCTATTAAAGGAAAAGCTCTCAGATTAAAAAATAAAAAAAACAAAGAAAATCTAGCAATATGCTATTAAGAAGAGATTAAAAAAGAGTAAATCTGAAAATAAAGAAGGGGAAAATATAGCCCAGTAAGCATTTTTTAAAATAATACCTATAGTAGTATTGATAGCAGACAAAACAGAATTTACAAAACAATAAATAGATTAAATTAATATCTCCCATAAAAAATGAATGTTAAAAATCCACCAAGAAGTCTAATAAACTAGTAAACTAGTAAAGGCCAAATAACATAGTTTTGAAATGTATCAAACAATTGTTGGTAGCAATAAAGTGAGAAAGAAGTGATAATGAAAGACAAGCATACACTACTAATCGACAGAGCAAGCAAGTAACTAATAATTAAGGGATATATGGGGCTCAAATACTAGAAACAGCGGCTTAATTAATATATGTATTCAAATATTTATATTCTTTCAAGCACACATCTAAAATTCACCAAAAAAAATCATAGATTAGGTCACAAAGATGAGCTCAATATTGAAACCTGCAAAAACATTTCAAGTTGCTTTTTCTGAACACAATGCAATTAAATTAGAAATTAAGACTATAATTAACAACATTGTACTCTATTTGGGATTCCTGCTAAATGAGTAGATTTTAGCTGTTCTTGCCACAACAACAAAAAATGGGTAACTATATGAGATGATAGATATATTAATTTGCTTCACTACAGTAATCATTTTACTATCTATATGTATCCCATACCACCACGCTATATAGGTTAGAATCCCTAATCCAAAAACCTTAAAACCAAAATGTTCCAAAAATCTGAAACTTTTTTAACATCAGCATGATGCCACAAGTGGAAAATTCCACACCTGACCTCATGTGATAGATGCACAAAATTATTTAAAATATTGTATAAAATTACATTCAGGCTATGCATATAAGCTATATATGAAACATAAGTGAGTTTAATGTTTAGACTTGGGGTCCCCTTCCTAAGATATCTCATGTATATTCCAGAATCCAAAAAAATCTTAAAGCCAAAATACCTCCGTACCAAGCATTTCCGATAGGGGATACTGAATCTTTGTATCTTAAATATACACAATAAATGGTTTTTTTTAATAAAAAAATTAAAGCTGAATAGTTTAATAACATGGGTTTAAAAAAATCAAAACTTAAAATTCATAAATATGTGTCAATGAGAGCATGACCATTTAAGACCTATGGCATGCAGCCAAACCAATACATAAAAGAAAATTTAAATATATGCATATAATAGAAAACAATAAAGCAGTATGACGTAGACTTTTAATGGCAGCTAGAAAAGAAGCAACAAAGAACACGGTAGGAAGAGATTAATAAAGACAATAAAAGATATCTGTAAAATATAAGACAAAAGTATTATAAACATGATTAATAAAACCAAATGCTGTTTGTAAAGACCATTAAAATAGATAATTATCTGGAAAGTCTCATTAAAAAGAGAACTAAATAAACACTGGAAATACAAAGAGAACATAACTCAGTTTAAGAACGAATGTTTTTGTTTTCATTAATTAACCTGGAACACTATGAACAGCTTTATACCAAAATATTCAAAATTTAGTACATACTTTCTAGAAAAAATTAATTACCCAAATTGACTTAGGCAAAATACAAAAAAACTAAGACACAATAAACAGAATAAATTTAAAGAATTAATCTTAAAAATACAATCTTCTAAGGGCTACTTCCACTAAAATTTAAGAAACAGATATACTAAGTTGTATGAAGCAGATAGCATAAAAATATAAAATGCTTTTAACTAGCAAAACCCCATTACCAAAATTAACTAACTAATTAAACAAAAGGCCAAGTATCACAAACGTAGGAGCAAAAATTCTAAGAAATATTTTAAAAATTAATTTCTGCAAATGTACTACAAGAATAATATACCATGGCCAAATGAGATTTATTTCATGAATTCAAAAATGGTTCAACCTCAAAAAAATTACTAATATATTTCACTACATAAGAGAAAAATCCTGAAAAACAATTTTTAAAATTCAATATACTGTGTATCTGAAATAAAATCAAAAAATTATGTAACCTAGTAACAAAGGAAAGGTTCCAAATTCAATATTATTTCTATAGAAACCTGTAACAAACCTCATATTAAATGGTGAAATATTTGATCCATTACTTTTAAATGCAAGAACAAGCCAGGAAACCACCTAACTTCTACTATTTGGCAGTTATTAACAAGCATTTGTGCTTTAGATACTAATCTCTTCCATAAAATAGTAACCTATTATGTTAATCCTTACAATAACAAATATGTCTCTAAATATGTCCAAATGTTAAGGGCTTAAAATCAATGCCACAGAGATTGTAGAAAACAGGTACTTATTAAAATTTTCTACTACCCAATTCACCTGTAAATATCCTAAAGGCTCAATGGTTGAAGTCAACCCACTGCACATAAACTTCCATGAGGTTGTTTCCTCATTCTGTGTAATGAAAAAGAACTTAATTTATGTGTGGAACTAAACAGATTTTTGCAAAATCTAAAGTCAGATCTTTCCAGGTGTATACAGCACAAGGTAGCCTAAAGCTGTGCAGACTGAGGAGGTATTATCAGGCAACTACTCTCACTCATCATTAATGCTAATAAAAAGAGAAGAAACAAGTTCATCTCTGAGAGTCTCAACTATTAATCCAGCCTATCTCTAGACAGTGGCACCTTCAATGGAAGAATGACTGTGGCAAATGTTGAGGGAACTGCTGGAAAATTAGTAAGTGCTTCAAGAAAACTTGCAGAGTCAAGTACTCAATCTGCACAGCTGGACACAATAGTAACCCATTTCCTAACCAAGCATTCAATGTGGGGTCAATTCCTCCTCAAGCTCCACGATTACTAATTTTATAATGAAATATAGACCAAAAATAGAATTCTTGCCCTCACAAAATCAGAGCTCCTAGAGCTACATAACACTGTCGGCATCATTTACTCTAATATAAATATATAAAAATGAAAACCTCCCAGAAACACCGATTTGCCCAAGACCATACACTGAATTTCAATTAAATATTTTGCCTTAAAGTCATCTAAGTAATCTGCTCCCATTTAGCACTCAGTATGCGAAAACAAAACTAGCAGCACAAATTTTGCTAGCACTCAGTATGAGAAAACAAATTAACAGTGTTTAAAGAAAAAATCCGAACCAAATAACAAGGGTTTATTTTATACATATGTATGGATTGCTAGAGGTGTCATAACAAAACATCACATACTTGGTGGCTTCAAGAACAAAAATTTATTTGTTCACAGTTTTGGAAGCTAGAAGTCCAAGATCAAGGTTTTGGCAGGGTTTGTTTCTCCTGAGTCCTCTCACGTTGGCTTGCAGATGGCCACCTTCTCTTGTGTCCTCACATGGCCTTCCCTCTGGTTGATGGGATCCCTGGTGTCTCTACACTTCTTGCAAGGACACCAGTCATATTATATTAGGGTCACACCCAATGACCTAATTTTAATTTAGTCACCTCTTTAAAAACCTTACCTTCAAACACGGTTACATTCTGAGGTACTGGGGGCTGGGACTTCAACATATGAATTTTAAGGGAACACCATTCAGCCCATAACACACACACACACTCTTTCTCTTTCTTTCTTTCTCTCTCTCTCTCTCTCTCTATATATATATATATATACACACACACATACATACACATATATATGTATATGTATATGAAGGACAAAGATATTTCAAAAATTAATATAGAAAGAAACGGAGGAGAAGAAGGGAGGAGAGGGTGTAAGTTTTTTTTTTTAGGAATTTAACTTGGTTCCACGTAATTTAAACTATGATTACAATGATGAGCTCTTTAGGCATTACATTCACTTAGGACCACCTATTTCTTTCTTCAAGAAATTTGTAAGATACAAACCATGTGTTGAGTTAAATCAAGTAAAATTTAATGGAAAATTACATTCAAAGTCGCCTGACTAGTCCTGTGTGGGTTATGTTCTCATGCATTTTTCATCACCAGGAAACAGCTTGTGAATGTCACACTTTACCATCACCCTCCTGAGCCCAAGTTTTAAATAGAAATTTAAAAACCTATATTAAACTTCAGTATAAAATGATCTTCAATGGGGAAAATATTGTGTTCACAGTTCCACTCTAAATTATTTAAAATCAGAATGAGAGGTCTGTGTGTTTGCTTTTGTGCTCCTTTAAGAATGAATGCAATCTAAGTTAAAGAAAAACACAGCAGCGGAAAATTACCTTTTTATTCTTATTAGGAGATAAACTGCTAATGACTACTTAGAGTAAGTATAAGACACAGTCACCACTTGGCAAGAGAACAGGAAGCCAAAATTTTCTCTTTCTGGAAAGGCACAAATAATTTTCTAAAAACGATATATTCACTCTACATAGATAGTTTTGTATAAAAGAGTTAATGTAGTTATTTTTAAGACATAGACCATATTAAACTTACTACTTGAAAAAACTGAACTGAGGAAATTAGAAAAACAAAAAAAATTTTAATAAAAACAATCTCCATTCATTCACAAGAAAGATTTAGTAAAGGAAGATGCCAATGGTACAAAGTAGTCTATCTAACTAACTGGGTTTGGATGCATTAACTGCTACGGTTGTATTCTATATTCTGTTAACACTACAATGGCAGAAAATTAATACTTTGCCACATTTTGTGGTAAAAAAATCAATATTATCTGCCCTGTGAAACTGACAGGTAGACATTGTGGAAATACACTGTAACTTACAAATCAATCATGCTGACTCCATAGGAAGAATCAAAGGCATGTAATTCTCTCTAAAACTTTTCCTAGTCTACAAAACAACAGTCCTATGGAATAGGATGCATCTAAGAGACAGTCTCCGCTTTGAGAGTTAGATTCTTATAAAGTGAGTCTCCTATTTTAAGTATGCAGAAATGGTCTGATCTGTAATTACTGTACACATAAATAAAGAATCCAAATGCCAAATATTTAAAGAGGTCAATAATAAAATTCTTCCCATCAAATAAGTAAAAAAAAAAGAATAATTCAGAAGGAGAGATTTTTGTTTATAATTAAAGTGGAGTCCTTTGTCTTTTTTTCCTTGCAACTTTATTAAATCATCACATTTAAATAAAGATACTGGATCAAACCAAGGTGTAGTCAACCTTAAACATTATCTTTGGCTTTTTGATGTCAGGTGTGTGGATGGATGAGAAACAGCTTTATGGGACAACTATTCTCTGCTTATCGCTTCCCTACTTAGAGTGTAGGCTTGAGATACCACTTTAGAGACGTGGAAATACAGAGGGCTAATCAGCAATTTCTAACAGACACTAACTGCATAGAGATGTGAAATTTAATGAGATGATGTTAACACTTTTTTAAAAAACTGAATAAAAGTATAGAGAACCGTCAATTATCTGGGCCAGCGGAGGGGAACACTGACATGGATAATGAAAAGTGCACATAATGTTCCAGCTGAACAATGTTTGTCACCCTGCCATAGAGGTGTTCTTAACCCTTGACAGCTCTAGTTCATTGTCTGTGTAATAATAATAACAACTAGCTAATATCAAGTAATTATGTATCAGACCTTAAGCTAATCATTTTATATGTATTACATAAACTTAATCTCTATAATACCACCATGAGGTTGGTTCTATTACTATCCCCATTTGAACATGAATAATTTATAGACTGGAAAAATAAAGTAACTCATCTAAAATCCTATAGTTACTGGCAGAACTAGAATTCAAGCCAAGATTATCAGAATTGAGAATTATTTTCTTTGTTACTATTACACTGGTGGAATATTCACACAGAGTCCTAACCCTCACCCACATAGAGGAAATATTAAACATGCTTCGGTCTATCTTCTATTGAAACCCCACTCACAGAAGCAAGGATGGGTGTCTGAACTGCAATTTTTATAAACTTCATGAGTATACTTCAGTGTTCACTGTAATGATACCCTGATATCCAGTAAGAATGTCCATAGCTTCATACTGACTTCATTGAAAACTGATTTTAACCCTCACACATAACCCCTTGCTTAAGATTGTTGAGTACCCCCTGAATTGAGGAAAACCACAATGGAGAATCACTTCTCCAGCACATTATACTGTAATTGTGAGAGTGGGTATGAGGGTGAGAGAGGAAGGATTCAATCAGAACCACGTGACTCCATTAAATAAGGATTTAAAGTCAAACCTGACTGGGCTAATTTTTATTTTGCCTTTGATCTCCAGAACAAGCTTTATCACCCAGCATTGATAGCCCTATTACAGCCACACTAAGGTAATGCATCATTGATAGGTAACTTGGTTATAAAATAGATCTAGGTGCTGTGCAGAGGTATGGATCCAAACACCACACATGGTAACAACCTGTCAAGGGGGCTTGGTTCTAATCTGGGAATTTTCCACTCCCCAGAAGAGGAAGTAACGCCAAGATGACACACCAACCACACCTTAAGAACAAGTATCTAAAAACAGAAGTGAAACTCTCATTTGCAGGTTTGCACCCTCCTCCCACATCTCCCAGATTAGGCCTGCCTATCATGGGATATAGATTTTTATGGTGATGAAAAGAGGTAAATTTGGAGCAATTTGTGGAATGTAGAGAGGACCTTAACCTAAATATGAGTTTCTGAAAATATGCCCTCTTTAAGATCAGCTTATGACAGCATAACTCAATGAAATCCCTTCTAAATTGGTCCAGCAAGACAGGAAATCTCCTGTAGTACTCCCAAGAACTGCAGCTACTGAGGAGCACAGCTGGGTTAGAGGAGGTGGCAGGAATAGGGGAGGGAAGGTTTGTCACATCAGTGACGGTATTAAACACCACACAGGAACTAGTCCTAGGAAAAGTGGGCACTCAATATACATCTGAAACAAATTTAAAAACCTCTTAAACACCCTCTTAAAATATACCACTATAAATAAAACCTCATTCTTTATATTTTGCGTGAATTTTAAAGTGCCACTATCTGAAGAAAAAAACCAATCAGCCAGTTACATTAGCATGATGGCCACTGAGGTCAAGGCATTCTTGGTTCCTTGATTTCAGTCAAGGCTCCTAATATATAATGGCCTGTATGTGAAGAGCATATAGATGTATACGGCTGGGAAGGCATGATATTTTAAAATAGTTTCTACCACAGTATTTCCAAAAAACAATGCTTTCCTCATTAAAACAGTGGCTGCAATGCCACACTTCTATCACATTTTCCTTCCTTTTCAGCTCTACTCTTGGAGCCTATAAAAGATAACTAATATTTTAAAAGAAATAATGATAAAATAAAAGTATGACATAAATCATGGTGACCCTTAAGGAAACAGGGTCTTCCTTTGATGCTTATCAGTCATTGTTACATCCTCTAAGCATTGTTAAAAATAACACCCGTGTCTATAAGGCTCCCTTGTTTTCCCATGCTTCCCATGGGAATTAACTGATCAAATCTTTACACTGCTGCAGGGGATGTAAAATGGCGTTATGCAAAAAGTGTTAATGTTTCCATTTTCTGCCCAATTCAGAATCCAGTGGAAATTAACCTTTCTACCAAAAAAAAAAAAAAAAAAAAAAAACAAAAACATAATAAAGTACCCCTTCTTATCACAACAGGGGAGAGAACAAAAAGGCAGCAGACAGGATTTGCTGGCAAGATGGCCAAATAGGAACAGCTCCCATCTGCAGCTCCCAGCGAGATCAACACGGAAGGCAGGTGATTTCTACACTTCCAACTGAGGTACCCGGTTCATCTCACTGGGACTGGTTGGACAGTTGGTGCAGCCCACGGAGGGCTAAAGCTGGGTAGGGCATCGCCTTGCCCAGGAAGCGCAAGGGGTAAAGGGATTTCCCTCCCCCAGCCAAGTGAAGCCATGAGAGACTGTACCGGGAGGAACAGTGCACTCTGGCCCAGATACTGTGCTTTTACCACAGTGTTTGCAACCGGAAGACCAGGAGATTCCCGCCGGTGCCTAGGCCACCAGGGCCTGGGTTTCAAGCACAAAACTGGGCAGCCGTTTGGGCAGACACCGAGCTAGCTGCAGCAGTTTATTTTTCATACCCCAGTGGCACCTGGAATGCCAGGGAGACAGAACCGTTCACTCCCCTGGAAAGGGGGCTGAAGCCAGGGAGCCAAGTGGTCTGGCTCGGCAGGTCCCACCTCCACGGTGCCCAGCAAGCTAAGATCCACTGGCTTGAAATTCTCGCTGCCAGCGTAGCAGTGTGAAGTCGACCTGGGACGCTTAAGCTAGGTGGGGGTGGGAGAATCGCCTTTGCTGAGGCTTGAGTAGGTGGTTTTACCCTCACAGTGTAAACAAAGCCATCGGGAAGGTTGAAATGGGCAGAGCCCACTGTAGCTCAGCAAGGCCAGGCCAAAGGCCGCTGGTGGCCAGACTCCTTCTCTAGATTCCTCCTCTCTGGGCAGGGCATTTCTGAAAGAAAGGCAGCAGCCCCAAGTCAGGGACTTAGAGATAAAACCCCCATCTCCCTGGGACAGAGCAACGGGGGAAAGGGGCGGCTGTGGGCGCAGCTTCAGCAGAACTTAAACATCCCTGCCTGACAGCTCTAAAGAGAGCAGCGGATCTCCCAGCACAGTGTTCAAGCCCTGATAAGGGACAGACTGCCTCCTCAAGTGGGTCCCTGAACCCCATGTATCCTGACTGGGAGACACCTCTCAGTGGGGACCGACGGAAACTCATACAGGATAATTCTGGCTGGCATCTGGTGGGTGACCCTCTGGGATGAAGCTTCCAGACGAAGGAACAGGCAGCAATCTTTGCTGTTGTGCAGCCTCTGCTCGTGATACCCAGGCAAACAGGGTCTAGACTGGACCTCCAGCAAACTCCAGCAGACCTGCAGCAGAAGCGCCTGTTAGAAAGAAAACTAACAAACAGAAAGGAACAGCATCAACATCAACAAAAAGGATGTCCACTCAGAGACCCCATCCGAAGGTCACCAACATCAAAGACCAAAGGTAGGTAAATCCATGAAGATGGGGAGAAACCAGCGCAAAAAGGCTGAAAATTACAAAAACCAGAACACCTCTTCTCTCCCAAAGGATCACAACTCCTCGCCAGCAGGGGAACAAAACCAGACGGAGAATGAGTTTGACGAATTGACAGAGGTAGGCTTCAGAAAGTGGGTAATAACAAACTCCTCTGAGCTAAAGGAGCGTGTTTTAACCCAATGCAATAAAGCTAAGAACCTTGAAAAAAGGTTAGATGAACTGCTAACTAGAATAACCAGTTTGGAGAAGAATATAAATGAACTAATGGAGCTGACAAACATAGCACAAGAACTTTGTGAACCATACACAAGTATCAATAGCTGAATCGATCAAGGGGAAGAAAGGACATCAGAGATTGAAGATCAACTCAATGAAATAAAACAAGAAGATAAGATTAGAGAAAAAAGAGTGAAAAGAAGCAAATAAAGCCTCCAAGAAATACGGGACTGTGAGAAAAGACAAAATCTATATTTGACTGATGTACCTGAAAGTGACGGGGAGAATAGAACCAAGTTGGAAAACACTCTTCAGGATATCATCCAGGAGAACTTCCCCAACCTAGCAAGGCAGGACAACATTCAAATTCAGGAAATACAGAGACCACCACAAAGATACTCCTCAAGAAGAGCAACCCCAAGACACATAATCCTCAGAGTCACCAAGGCTGAAATGAAGGAAAAAATGCTAAGGGCAGCCAGAGAGAAGACTCAGGTTACCCACAAAGAGAAGCCCATCAGACTAAAAGCAGATCTCTCAGCAGAAACCCTACAAGCCAGAAGAGAGTGGAGGCCAATATTCAACATTCTCGAAGGAAAGTATTTTCAACCCAGAATTTCATATCCAGCTAAACTAAGCTTCATAAGGGAAGGAGAAATAAAATCCTTTAGAGACAAGCAAATGCTGAGAGACACTGTCACCACCAGGCCTGCCTTACAAGAGCTCCTGAAGGAAGCACTAAACATGGAAAGGAACAACCAGTACCAGCCACAGTAAAAACATACCAAATTGTAAAGACCATCAACGCTATGAAGAAACTGCATCAACTAATGGGCAAAATAACCAGCTAGCATCATAATAACACGATCGAATTCACACCTAACAATACAATAACCTAAAATGTAAATAGGTCAAATGCCCCAATTAAAAGACACAGACTGGCAAATTGGACAGAGTCAAGACCCATCAGTGTGCTGTATTAAGGAGACCCATCTCATGTGCAAAGACACACATACACTCAAAATAAAGGGATGGAGGAATATTTACCAACCAAACGGAAAGCAACAAAAGCAAGGGTTGCACTCGATAAAACAGGCTTTAAACCAACAAAGTTAAAAAGAAACAAAGAAGGACATTACTAATGGTAAAGGGATCAATGCAACAAGAAGAGGTAACTATCCTAAATATATATGCACCCAATACAGGAGCACCCTGATTCATAAAGCGAGTTCTTAGAGACCTACAAAGAGACTTAGACTCCCAAACAATAGTAGGAAACTTTAATATCAGACAGATCAATTAGACAGAAAATTAACAAAAATATCTAGGACTTGAACTCAGCTCTGGACCAAACAGACCTAAATGATATCTACAGAACTCTCCACCCCAAATCAACAGAATATACATTCCTCTCAGCACCACATCACACATACACTAAAATTGACCACATAACTGGAAGTAAAACACTCCTCAGCAAATGCAAAAGAATGGAAATCATAATAGTCTCTCAGACCACAGTGCAATCAAATTAGAACTCAGGATTAAGAAACTCACTCAAAACCACATAAGTACATGGAAACGGAACAACCTGCTCCCGAATGACTACTGGGTAAATAACGAAATTAAGGCAGAAATAAAGATGTTCTTTGAAACCAACGAGAACAAAGACACAACATACCAGAATCTCCAGGACACATTTAAAGCAGTGTGTAGAGGGAAATTTATAGCACTAAATGCCCACAAGAGAAAGCAGGAAAGATCTAAAATTGACACCCTAACATCAAAATTAAAAGAACTAGAGAAGGAAGAGCAAATACATTCAAAAGCTAGCAGAAGACAAGAAATAACTAAGATGAGAGCAGAACTGAAGGATATAGAGACAGGAAAAACTCTTCAAAACATCACTGAATACAGGAGCTGGTTTTTTGAAAGATCAACAAAATAGATAGACCTCTAGCCAGATTAATAAAGAAGAAAAGAGAGAAGAATCAAATAGACACAGTAAAAAATGATTAGGGGGATATCAACACCAATCCCACAGAAATACAAACTACTATCAGAAAATACTATAAATACCTCTATGCAAATAAACTAAAAAATCTAGAAGAAATGGATAAATTCCTGGACACATACACCCTCCTAAAACTAAACCAGGAAGAAGTAGAATCCCTGAATAGACCAGTAACAAGTTCTGAAATTGAGGCAGTAATTAATAGCCTACCAACCAAAAAAAGTCCAGGACCAGAAGGATTCACAGCCGAATTCTACCAGAGGTACAAAGGGGAGCTGGTACCATTCCTTCTGAAACGATTCCAAACAACAGAAAAAGAGGGAATCCTCCCTAACTCATTTTATGATGCCAGCATCATCCTGATAGCAAAGCCTGGCAGAGACACAACAAAAAAAGAAAATTTCAAGCCAATATCCCTGATGAACATGGATGAGAAAATTCTCAATAAAATACTGGCAAACCAAATCCAGCAGCCCATCAAAAAGCTTATCCACCATGATCAAGTCGGCTTCATCCCTGGAATGCAAGGTTGGTTGAACATAAGCCAATCAATAAATGTAATCCATCACATAAACGGAACCAAGGACAAAAACCACATGATTATCTCAAAAGATGCAGAAAGGGCCTTTGACAAAATTCAACAGCCCCTCATGCTAAAAACTCTCAAGAAACTAGGTATTGATGGGATGTTTCTCAAAATAATAAGAGCTATTTATGATAAACCCACAACCAGTATCATACTGAATAAGCAAAAACTGGAAGCATTCCCTTTGAAAACCGGCACAAGACAAGGATGCCCTCTCTCACCCCTCCTATTCAACATAGTATTGGAAGTTCTGGCCAGGGCAATCAGGCAAGAGAAAGAAATAAAGTGTATTCAATTAGGAAAACAGGAAGTCAAATTGCCTCTGTTTGCAGAGACATGATTGTATATTTAGAAAACCCCATCATCTCAGCCCAAAATCTCCTTAAGCTGATAAGCAACTTCAACAAAGTCTCAGGATAAAAAATCAATGTGCAAAAATCACAAGCATTCCTATACACCAATAACAGACAAACAGACAGCCAAATCATGAGTGAACTCCCATTCACAATTGCTACAAAGAGAATAAAATACCTAGGAATCCAACTTACAAGGGATATGAAGGACCTCTTCAAGAAGAACTACAAACCACTGCTGAAAGAAATAAGAGGACAAAAACAAATGGAAAAACATTCCATGGTCATGGATATGAAGAATCAATATCATGAAAATGGCCATACTGCCTAAAGTAATTTATAGATTCAATGCTATCCCCATCAAGCTATCATTGACTTTCTTCACAGAACTGGAAAAAACTACTTTAAATTTCATATGGAGCCTGCATAGCCAAGACAATCCTAAACAAAAAGAACAAAGCTGGAGGCATCACACTACCTGACTTCAAACTATACTACAAGGCTACAGTAACAAAAACAGCATGGTACTGGTACAAAAACAGATATATAGACCAATGAACAGAACAGAGACCTGAGAAATAACACCACACATCTACAACCATCTGATCTCTGACAAACCTGACAAAAACAAAGCAATAGGAAAAGGGTTCCCTATTTAATAAATAGTGTTGGGAAAACTGGCTAGCCATATGTAAAAAGCCAAAACTGGATCCCTTGCTTACACCTTATACAAAATTAACTCAAGATGGGTTATAGACTTAAATGTAAGACCTAAAACCATAAAAACCCTAGAAGAAAACGTTGGCAATACCATTCAGGACACAGGCATGGGCAAAGACTTCATGACTAAAACACCAAAAGCAATGGCAACAAAAGCCAAAATTGACAAATGGGATCTAATTAAACGAAAGAGCTCCTGCACAGCAAAAGAAACTATCATCAGAGTGAACAGGCAAACTCCAGAATGGGAGAAAATTTTTATAATCTATCCATCTGACAAAGGGCTAATATCCAGAATCTACAAAGAACTTAAACAAATTTACAAGAGAAAAAAGAAAACAACATCAAAAAGTAGGCAAAGAATATGAACAGACAATTCTCAAAAGAAGACATTTATGCAGCCAACAAACATGAAAAAAAGCTCATCATCACTGGTCAGTAGAGAAATGCAAATCAAAACCACAATGAGATACCATCTCACGCCAGTTAGAATGATGATCATTGAAACATCAGGAAACAACAGATGCTGGAAAGGCTGTGAAGAAATAGGAATGCTTTTACACTATTGGTGGGAGTGTAAATTAGTTCAATCATCGTGGAAGACAGTGTGGCAATTCCTCAAGGATCTAGAACTAGAAACACCATTTGACCCAGCAATCCCATTACTGGGTATATACCCAAAGGATTGTAAATCATTCTGCTATAAAGACACATGCACACGTATGTTTACTGCAGCATAGTTCACAATAGCAAAGACTTGAAACCAACCCAAATGCCCATCAAAGATAGACTGAATTAAGAAAATGTGGCACATATACACCATGGAATACTATGCAGCCATAAAAAAGGATGAGTTCATGTCCTCTGCGCGGACATGGATGAAGCTGGAAACCATCATTCTCAGCAAACTAAGAGAAGAACAGAAAACCAAACACCACATGTTCTCACTCATAAGTGGGAGTTAAACAATGAGAACACATGGACACAGGGAGGGGAACATCATACACCAGGGCTAGGGGAGGGATAGCATTAGGAGAAATATCTAATGTAAATGACAGGTTGACGAGTGCAGCAATCCACCATGGCAAGTGTATACCTATGTAACAAACCTGCATGTTCTGCACATGTACCCCAGAACTTAAAGTATAATTTTAAAAAAAGAAAAAATATATTTTTTAAAAGGGCAGCAAACAGAAAGGACTCAGAAAAAAACAGGATATTATAGCATCCTGCTGAAAGAGAAAACGAAGCCATTTCCAGTTTGATAAGGTAAGAGAAAAGACATTTTTCCAGGGCACATTGAATTGAAGCAAAAATTCCTAAAATAAAAAGAAAGCAAAGCAGTTCCCACACAAAGTAATATAAATGACCTAATATATATTAAAAAAAGTCATCCCAGGGTGAACCAGGAAAGGGTAAGCCCAAGATGATCTAAAGAAACTAAAAAATACAATAGAGAAACTGTGAAAACTTCCAGTGAAACTTGATGGCTTGAAAACATGTATTTATCTCTCCCCCTTACCAATTCATACTAAAACAATACTAAAATTAAAACCCATAAGGGCAATCAAAATGAGTAAAGAGAACACTAGAGACGAGATAGAAATAAAAATGTAAAGACAGGACACAAATGGTTGAGAAGTCACATTGCCTAGGATGAGTGGGGAAAAAAAAAAAAAAAAAAAAAAAAAAACCTTGATACCTACATGATCCAAGGCATAAGCCAGTAAGAAATAAGTCAATTCATACTTCAGAATCCCAAAAATACTCACAAACTGGAAGCTGAAGTTCAAGTTGGGGCTACAAATGATATGATTAGTTGGAGTGAATTTAAGGTGGAGGTCTTTGCCCCAGTCTCCCTCGGCCAGCCCCCTATCCCTTCCTAGTCCCGCCAGAGATTTATTCTCTGAAGAGGTTGAATCAGAGAATTCAACTGGGGCTTGGATACCAGGCAGAGTGGATATCAGATTGAAGAGTCATACCGAATGAAAAAAAAAAAAATCATGAGAAAGTTGGCATAGAGAACTGAAGGGTCCTCAGTCCCTTCTTGATCATCTCAGAATAGTGACAGCTAGGTTTATATGTCCTAAAAAAAATAAATTGGGTAAGTCCATTTTGTGAGAAACACCCAGTAACAAAAACAAGATCAAGAGACAGCGACATTTGAGAGTACTTAAATAAAACGACTAGGTCTTCACCAAGAGTCCCTATGCTGAAGCCAACCAACTGACAAGCCACCCAGGCACAGAGCTTCCAATCAACTTCTGAGTACATTACTCATAACATAAACTGACAGCCAACAGTTTCTCTCCAAGAGGCATGACATAGACCCACCAAAAATCTCAACAGGTAAGGCAGAGACCAAAACAAATAAACAGAAACAAGAAACTCAAAGGAAATCCAGAAATAATTCAGAGAATATGTAAAAGGAAAAAAAATTCCCCAAGCTACATTTTGTATCCTCAGAAACATATGAAGTGATATGTTATTCATTGAAATAGAACAGGATACTTTTTAAAAGAGCATTCAAAGAATAAGAAAGAGTTCATGGAAATAAATATTAGTATAATTAAAAATCCAATTGAAGGGTTAAAAATTAAAAGTTAAAAAAACCCAGAAGGTAGGAAAAAAAAGATTTAAAATAATAGGGAAAAGAAAAGGTAACTAGAAGATCAATCCAATAATGCCAACATCCAACTAATAAAAATGTTATCGTAAAAGAGAAGATTACAAAAAATTAAATAAACATATAAGAAAATTTTTGAAACTGAAAGAAATTAACTCAAAAATTGAAAACACCCATTGATACCAAGAAAAAGGATGACACCAGGGATGAAAAGAAAGTCCTAGAAAGTTCCACAAACAAAAAAGCAGATAAAGGATGAACTGGGAAACCAGAATAGTCTAGGGATTTCAATACAATCTAGGCACCTAGAAAACAATAAAACAAGGTATTCAAAAGTCTAAGAAAAAATTATTTTCTAAACTAAAATCACATACTTGGCCAGATTATTAATCAAGTAATCAACGACAGATAAAATCATAGTCATATGACAAACCCCCCATCACCCTTTCTCAAGAAGCTACTGCGAGGATGTACTTTAAAACAATGAAATAAACCAAGAACAAGAAAGACATGTAACCCAGAGAATGGGTATTTAACATTAAAAAAGGAGGAAAAAATTCTCAGAAAAGGACGCCTTATGACTATAGGATTAGAGGTTAACCAATCTATATTAAATTAGGACTATGAAGAACTGCCAGGGCAATCTCAGTGGGGGAGAAAAACTGATAGATTATCTGATTTGTTTTGGAGGCATTTTACAGTTTTGTCATATAGTTGCAGGCCTCAAATTGTGTTTAAAATTATCTTAATTTGAATGAAGGAAAAGTAGACAATGACAACTAAGAAAATGAAGAAGTTGTGCAAGGAAGGAAATTTATTCATAGCATACTTGTGGTTTCCCTGACCAAAATTTACATTATCATACAATTGTAAATAATGTATATTAATTTAAGCCAAAAAGTAGGAAAAAATGTATTTGAGAATAGAAATATAACAGAGAATATTCTCTCTTGGTGTGTTCCTTTCTAACTTGTAAATCACTAGTTATATCTAAAGTCTGTTTCCCTCTAACACTTCTTTCTGGACATTCTCTTCTTTCCTTTGGTCCTACTGAATCTACCCTACACAGATTTCTACTCCAGCATTTTCCATTCAGTACAGGGCTTTGTCCTGGAAAAGAACTTCAACTTGTCACTTTACAGAGTCACATGAGAAAGACTGGTGGAGTACCCCCCCAAAAAAAACTGGATTAACGCAAGTGAACAAATTTTGATATTTATTCTGCAATGAAATTCCTTGTGAATTTGCTAATTTCAAAACTATCCTTACTGCCTACACAGTAAAGTTCAATAACCTCTCCAAGGGTTTGAAATACAAAAGACTTTTAATTATAAATTCCTCTAACTAGAAACAATTAAGGGGGAAAAATGATTTTTCCAAAAATAAGTTGAATCATTTCATTCATTTGCTTGCTTAGTGCTTATAAATAAGGAGTCCATATATAGTTTGCTCTCTCTCTTCCAAAACATTCAACCACCCTGGGAGAGAATGCATAATAAGGCACTGATAAAGTTTCCTGCTGTCTTCCAGCACCGCATGCTATCATAAGAAGGCTATTCCTTCTGTTTACCCAGTGATAAACAAAAAGACTGCACTTACCGAGCTGGGGCTGGAGTGCCGCCTAACTTTAGGTGACTCTTTGCCAGTGGAGGAGGTCTTAAAGTTAATGCAAGCATTGTTCTCAGAATGCACCCTCTTTACTTGATTAGCTGGTTTCTCAAATGGGTCAAAAGTGCTCTGTGTCCTCTGAACTCTGACTTTTTTATCCTCAGGAATTGTGTCCAGGGGTTTGATCACTGAGTCCATTCCCTGGCAGTTCCGTGTAGACATCTTTGTGACACATATCTGAGAAAAGAAGAAATTAAATTCAGAACTCTTCACTGCAACTTTAATATCACTAAACATGCCAATATATAACTCTAGAAAGCATGCCAATTTCAGTTTCAGGAAATACCCAAAAAGCCCACATTCTAAAAGCTGCATCAGCATAAATTACAGTACAAAAAAATCCTCACAATCATTGTGTTTACACTTAGATCTCACACTAGAGCTTACACTAAAAAATCTACCTCTAAAATGAGAAACTTAAGGCCCAGGCTGCTAGTAGTACCCTAACATGATTCTTGAACTCTGTCACACGTTTTACCATCTGACTGGAAGTGGTTTATTTCTGAATCATTAAGAGGTTGGGTAACTAGCCTTAATTTAAAAAACAAAAAATAGGCAAATCAGATGGACATTAACTGATGGGTCATCGTGTAAGCAGCTAACCTAGGCTAGAGAAGGAAAGGGCATTATGTTGTTTAAAAGTTTTATGCATGAATATGTATGCTTAAAATCTGTCCCCATCTTGATTTCATCTCCAAATTGGAATGAATGGAGCTAATGGTTAGAGATACTGAAGAACTGAGGACAATGGTGGGGGTTTCCTTTATTTCAAAGCTAATGGATAAAAAGAAATAACATTGTAAAAGAAAAACACCAAAAAGCATTCATTTCAAAATTTGGTTTACATTATTCCACTAGACCTCCACCTCCTTCCCTTCTTCTTCCTTCTTCACCCATTCTCTTCTCACCCAGCCTTCCCCACCCTCTCATTTTATTTCAGTCTCTGTGATTTTTGCTCCTTGCTTTTTACTTTAGTTCTAAGCCTGTCATTCTCCCGATACTCTGGAGACTTTGTTGTCTTTATTCAATAATTTGATGGCCTCTGGCTTGTCTGTAAAGCTAACTAATTTAATTGTTCTCTCTAAAGAAAATATAACTCTAAATAAAATTGTTTTTAGAATGCTTTTCTTCTTATAAAAAGTTCCCACATCCCTATATGCTATCAAAAGCAGAAAAACCGAAGATATTTATGAAAAGCCCACACTGTTAAGGTAAAAATACGAAGTTTTTGAATACACACTTTGGGTCCGTGGTTGGTTGAGTATGTGCATACAGAACCCACAGATACACAGAGCTAATATGTATAGAATGACTCCATGTGGGGTATAAATGCGGCTATGTATATGGATAGATATAGACAGATACAGATATAAATACAGACACAGATGCATAGATATAGATATTTGTGAGTGTATGAGCATGGTGAAAAGTATACAGGAAAACACACCACCAAACTATTAACATCAGATATCTCCAGACATGTGGAATTGAACGGGCAAGATTAGCAATTTTTGGTACACTCTTGTGTGAATTTTATAATAAATATTCCAACATATGTAATGTTTTAAAAACCACTAAAGTAGAAAAGCATGTATAATTAAAATAAGCCATTTCAAGTTTTTGAAACAAAAAGTTTTTAATCATTAAACATCAACCCTATGAGTATGTCTCAACTACTAAGCACAGGCTGAATTCTAACTAAGTCAAATGAGAAAAATATTATCATACTTTTTAGCATGTGAGAAAACAGCTGAAGATATTTTTAAAAGACTCAAGGCAGAGTCCTCTAGTCATGATCAAAAAGTAAAAATGAATTACAAGTATGTTGGAGCATGCAATATTTTTAAGGGTTTTTGTGCTCTTCTTAAGGACATGAAGGCAGTAAATAAGAAACCACCCACATCACTAAAGCAATTAAATTATAAATACATGGGCCTGAGAAGTCAATGAACTGCAAACACAGAAAATTTGAAAGAAAAAAAAATGTAAGGGCACGTTGAAATCAAATTACTTAAAATAGAAACTAAAAGATAAGGATGACAGAAAATAGTTGATGACTAAATTAATAGAGAAAGGCAATTAGAAAGCATCTTGGACTAAATAAAAATGAAAACACAAAATACGAAAATGGTGAGATTCAGCTAAAGTAGTACTTTAGCTGTAGGAAAATTTGTAACACTAAATGACTAGAGAAAAGAAGAAAAGTCTCAAAGCAATAACCTCAGCTTCCACCTTAAAATACTAAAAAAAAAATAAATAAATAAAGCAAATAAAAACCAAGATAAGAAGAGTGAAATAATAAATAAGAAAGTGGATATAAATAAAATAGAAAACAGAAAACAATAAAGAAAAATCAATAAAACCAAAAGCTGGTTTTCAGAGAAGTTTTTTTTAAATGATGAACATCTAGCCAGACAGATAAGGGGAAAAAAAAGTAGAAAATATACATCGCCAATATTACTATCAGGAATGGGAGCAGTGATATCACTACAGATGTTCTACAAATACTACAAACAACATTGTGCCAATAAATTCCACAACTTAGATGAAACCAATTATTTGAAAGACAAAAACTACCAAAGCTCACTCAGTTAAAAAAAAAAATAGATAACATGAATAGGCCTGTGTCTATGACAGGAATTGAATTTGTGGTCAAAAACATTACCACAAAGATAATGCCAGGGCCAGGTGGCACCACTGGTGAAGTTAAAACAAACATTAAAGGAAGAAATGACTTCAATTGTACAGAAACCCTTTCAAAATACTGATGAAGAGGATATACTTCCCAATTCATTTTATAAGGCCAGTGTCATTCCAATACCAAAGCCACACAAGAACATTGTAAGGAAACTACAGATCAATCTCTCTCATGAACACAGATGCAAAAAATTACTGGTACATCTTCAACAAATTGAATGCAACAATATATAAAGAAGATAGTAAACCATGACAATGTCACACTAATCCCACGAATGCAAGGTTGGCTTAACATTCACAAATCTGTAATTCACCATTTTAAAATACAGTGGTAGGCAGTCTCTAACATGGCTCCCAATAACACCCACTTCTAAGTATTCACACTCTTATGTAATCCCCAGCTCTTGAGTGTGGGCTGCATTTGTTGACTTGTATCCCATAAATATAATATGGCAAAAATCATAGGATACCGCTTCTGAGAAAACATTGTAAGAACAATGTTTCTTCTATTTTGGTGCTCTCTCTGCCTTGAGTATCCCCTCTTAGATCACCAGACCTGGGGAAAGCCGGCTGCCATGCCATGAGGCAGCCCTGTGGAGAGGCACCTGTGCAGAAAGACTAGGGCCTGCAAACAACCTTGTGAGTCAAGTTTTCAGGGACAACCACAGTTCCAGCTTCCTGCTTGACTGGACTCTCATAAGAGACCCTGAGCCAGCTAAGGAGCATCTGCAAGAGACCCATAGGAACTAAGATTTTTTAAAAATGTATGTTGTTTTAAGATGTTAAGTTATGGGATAATTTGTTATGAAGCAATTAATACACAGTTTTTTAAAAATCATATGATCATCTCAATAGACTCAGAAAAAAGCATTTGATAAATTCAGCATCCATTCACAATAAAACCTCTCAACCAACTAAAAACAGAGTAAAACTTCCTCAAACTGATAGAGAGCATCTACCAAAAAATTACATGTAACATCATACTTAATGCTGAGAAACTACATGCTTTTCACCTAAAAACAGGGAAAATTCAAGGACATCCACTTTCACAAACACTTTGATTTAACATTGTATTTTAAGTTCTAGAAAATACAATAAAGCAAAAAAAGTCATTTGTTGGCTTCAGGAAACAGAGGAACTCCAATTAGAAATTCTGATGGCTTTCTGAACCTATACAATTTAAGCAAGAGAAACTGTTACAGAATCTACTGCAAAGTACAGCTTTCTCTCCATCTTCATGCCTTAACGGCCTTACAATACATACTTTGAGTCAGGTAGTCTCTCATTTAATGGATCTGACTATGGCACAGTTGATAATTATAAAAATCAGTGGAAACTATGCACCTGTGAAAAACCAACATCTCTAAAGTATTCTATCATTAAGACAGAAGAGGGCCGCCTTTCCCTAATTTTTGAGAAAAAAAAAATTTAACAAGGTTCTCAACTTAAAATATTTCCCATAAATATTCTTAAACATTTCACGTTTACCATTTTTGCTAACTACTAGCAAACTACAAAATAAAAGTAGAAAACAATCAACTTAGCTGGGCATGGTGATACACACCTGTAGTCCCAGCATTTGGGAAGCTGTGGCAGGTGGATCATTTGAGCTCAGGAGTTCGAGACCAACCTGGGCAACGTGGAAAAACCCTGTCTCTACAAAACAAATATAAAAATTAGGCGGGTGTGGTGGTGCACACCTGTAGTCCCACCTACTCAGGAGGCTGAGGTGGACAGATCTCTTGAGCCAGGGAGGGCAAAGCTGCAGTGAGCTGCAGAGTCTGTGCCACTATGCTCCATGTACTCCAGCCTGGGCAACATAGTGAGACCCTATCTCAAAAAGGGAAAAGGGAAAGGGGAAAGGGTGGGGGAAGGGAAAGAGAAAATGGAAAAGGGGGAAGAGGGGTAAGAGGGGAGAAGGGAGAAGAGGGGTAAGAGGGGAGAAAAGGGGAGGGTAGGAGAGCTCTTAGAATAAATTTAAGTATCCAGAGTGCATGAAGAGAAAAGCGAGCAGCCTGGGTCTTAGCAATGAAAGAGGGCTCTGGAGGACGCAGTATACACTGGCGCTACTCCCCTGCGTACAAGTCTTCAGTTGAATGCTTATATTAACTTGTCAGCAATCTGAATAAATGCTTCCCACCCCAAATAGAATCTTTCTGCCCACAGCAAAATGCTTATGGTCAGTGCAGTAAAAGGTCTTAGTAAAAGATAAAACCTCATATATTAAAAAAACTCAGAGACAGAAGTACGGAATGTCAAATTGGAAAAAATCACTGAGAACCCAAACCTCAAAAACACAGACTCTTCCAACCACCAAACAGTAGCCCTTTTATCCACTACTAACTTTCATGTGCACCCCTAGTGCCCAGATTTTGGCCTATGTTCCAGTTCTCCAGTAAGGAAAGGAAGAAATCTTTGGAAAGTAATAGATTCCAGTTCACAGTGCAGGAAGTGTGAAAGAGCCAGGAAACATCCAGCTGTTACCAGAAAACTGGCATCCTTTCAAAAATGTCAGGGATCGTGCTAGAAGGACAAAGGAATCTGCCTAAAGGAGCTCCCAACGATCAAACTGTGATTATTTATTCGAGCATCAAAAGGAAAAATAAAAGTATGGTTAAATAGAACAAGATGAGTTGCTGAAAGACCATGAGTTCATTATGATTTCAAAAGAGAAAAGTTACTATAAAGGCCAAATGGCAGCTATAATATAAAAGAAGTATGAATATAATACAATATGGTTGATTTTAAGATACAGAACTGTGAGTAAGCCAAGAAGTGCTAGAAAAAAAGTACCAAGGAACTGTATCAAGGACAGGAATGAATGATCAGGGCCTGTGGGGAGGGTCCAAGCAGCATGAGTGTAGAAAGAAAAGCAACACAGCATGTTCCAATGGCAGCAGACCAGGTGGGTGGATGTAATGCAACAGGCTAAAGGGCAGGTGATGTTGCCTAAGCAACGTATTACAAAGTACACATCTGGTGGAGATAAACAAGATTAAAAAGAAAACCTATGTGAACCAGTGTGGAAAGCATTTTTTTAAAGAAGTTAAATTTTAATAATACATATGAAATTTAACCCTTAAAAAGAAAACTCAGCTTAACTGCCAACCCGTGACTCAGATGTGAATCTCTGACTTGAAAAAAGCATCCAGGACCCCAACAGTCAATAACTCAGATCCTGTAACCGTGGCTGTTCTGAGAAGGAATTCTTTTACTTGTGGTCCTGTAAAGATTACAAAATCCCAAAAAGACACAAAAAATATTATTACTGAACTCCCTGGAAGAAATCTAAATAAGTAGATCTATAACCCTAGAAAGGTATAAAAAAGAATAGAGAAATAATAATAAGATTACATAAACCCACACTGTTAATAAGTATAGTAATATATTAATAATTTGCAATCATTACATTTACATATGTCTTCTTTGTTTAAAAGTATCTAGAATATGTCAAAATAATCAGTCACACTAAATTAGTATATGACATTAAGGGAATTTAATTAGGTCAGTAAACAATGCTTAAATAGAAACAAATTGGTTTTCAAAATTACATTTCTTAGCTACATACATTCTTAAAGATGTGGGCACTTGGCCAAATACAAAGGCCATGAGCTGTGAACATTCTGGATACAGGAGACCCTCAGACATTCTACGCACTGTCCGTCAGCTTCACTGTCCTTCACACATGCTTTCTTACCGCCCTCAGCCTGAAAACCTTCCTCCCACCAAGCCATGACTTGTCTCCAAAATTGCCTTTGCCTAGATGCACTTGTTGATTAAATCCCACCCACTCGGACCAATCCTTTATTAAGAATTCACTTCAGTGAATTTAGTCTGCTCCAATATTTTGCATACCTTAGACTGTAATTATTCTTTTTGTGATACTTTAATGTCAACAACCTGATTATCTCTTCCACAGGGCAAGGACTGTCTTATATTCATTTTATAGCCCCCTAAAGTACTTTTCCCTTCGAATCTCCTCTTGAAGAGTCCAGTAAAGATTTGTTCATTAACTCGTGGAAAATAAGGAACTTCCACAGGTTAAAAATGGTTTTCCCAAATCATGGGTCCAGAAGAAAATATCTTTGGCACCTCTGCCCAAGGCAAATTCCAGTAGACAGCTATGCTATCAGTATCGTGTGAAAACAAGACAGAAATTCTAATATCAATGAGAACTAAGAATAGTCTTCTCCATGACTGTACTTTTTCATACTACTTGTTCCATTTAGAAACTGAAGTAACAAAAATCACATAAGCAGGGATGTCTCCTGGTATTCGAAAACATATAAAAAGAAGAAATCATCACAAATACCAAAATAAACTTTTTTTTCCAGTAAATTCAATAGAAGCTAGAATTTCAAACTTGCTTTGAGATGCACCCACACATATGGATATTCATCTGAAGCGATTAATTTGGTCTACTCATTATTAACAGGAACTTGTTCATTTGCTGGCAAACTCAAACCTGAGTAAAAATTGTTAGAAATTCAAACAGTGTATGAGGCTCCAAAAGTCACAATTTGACCTACGATTCTAGCTTAGAGCTATGTAAAATCCAGACAACTGTCTACTGAACTCACAGCAGTGGATTTGAAAGAGCACAGCTTAATTCAGTTAAGGTTGGCATTCATTTCAAGTGAATTCATTCGGTCTGAAAATTGTCCCTTTGAATCACCCATTTTCTGGTGATCAGCATTTTACTGGGTTCAGAGTCTGATTTTCTCTACTACTTCACTCCACACTGTTAGTTGAAGGCAGACACTGGAAAAGAATTGGTTTAAAAGACTCCAGGTTAACCCACAGCAAATATGTATCATGCGTCAGGCTGTAGCTAGGTCATGCTCTTTTGATATTCATGAAAGGAATATCCATCACAGGTCCAATGCAAAACTATGAAATAAGCAAAAATCTTGACAACCTCTTTCATTTGTTTTTTTCCCTTTGTCCAATACCCCAGGAGGGCCTGATGGCTTTATCCTACTCAAAATCTGCTCCCAATATAAAAAAATCATCAGTCATTTATAAGTTTTTGAGCACTTAAATCGTAGTACTACCTCTCCCAGAATTATCTGAACTTTAAGCGTTACAGAACAACAAGTTTTCTCCCTTATAAAAGTAATTTCAGCTATTAAGGATAGATGTGCAAGAGTTTTGGGTAGAAGAGAGAGGTAGGAAGAATTAGAATCATTGCCACTAGAATCATAACCAATGATAACTGCCTTCATCTATAACTTAAATCTGTCAAATCTAAAAGTATGCTTTCCTCTCTTTGCTTGCTGTCTTCTCTATTTTCTCCCTAATAGTATGCGTGTGTATGTATGTGTGTATACACAGAGATGGCAGTAAGAGTGGCTACACAGAGCAAAGATATGTACACATATAGAAGGATATATGCAAGAATGTGTTTTTTACTTACAGCTTTGTTTTATGAGAACCAAGATCTTGCCTAAAGTCACCTTCAGAACATTATCTAATATACATGCAAACATACTGCCCATAGAAGTCAGAACTAAGTGCCTCAAGACAAGCCACTTAAATTCCCCAGATCTCAGTCTTCTCATCTGTAAAATGATACAGATCTGTTTTAGCTCTAATGTTCTACTATGAACTTTAGGCAGCAGTTTGCAGCTGGTAAATAATTTTAGATAGGTCAACTAGTAAAGTCTCACACATAAATTCACTTCTTTGTGCTTCCTTTGTGTTCCACTTTCCCTTAGAATTTTAGGATTTAGAAAGGACAAAGACAGGTACATACCATGTATACACTTCTCTTAATGTCTCCAGTCTTTTCAGATTTTCCTTAACTCTGACATCCTGGCACTGTTTCTCAGTGGTGGCATCCTGGGCATTTTGGCTGAAAATTATTTGGGTGCAGCATTTCCACAGCAGTACACGTTGTAGAGCATCTGGCAACCATGGTTCTGTGTACTAAATGCTAGTCCTGCCCTTATATCATTGTCACTGTCACAACCAAAAATGCCCTCACTACCAACTACATCATTTTTAGATTGTATTTTATAATTTGTTACTGAAATATATGTTATTATATATTCTTATATAAGCTACTGTAGAATTTGTTTTCAAGTGTTTGGTTTATTTTGGTGGGGTGGGGGGAGCTCCGTCTTTGCTGAGCACTGTTTCTCACGTGTTTGTATTTCCATGACCAGAGTGTAAACACCTTGAGCACACAAACCATATCTTCTATTTCTTTAGTGTTCCCAAAGCACAAAAGACCGGGCATGAAATAGTTCTGTTAATATTTACTCAATGATGGATTGTTTTACTAATTATAAGCTTTCCCCTTTAACTAAAAATAGGCCACTAAAAAAATTAGTCCTGAGAAACTACATTAAAAACAAGGTACCTTCTGAGTTGAGATATTTTCCAGTCATGAAAACACTTCACCAGATGTTTCCATTCATCAGAATTCAATGTCTAACATTGCGATTTAGTTTTAAAATGCTTATTTTTCTACTACATGGTTTCTTTGGCATCTGACCCAATTTCACTTAAATCCTGAATTCCTCAGCTAGTGGACACTGCTGAATGGAGGACTCTTGAGGACACCACATTCCTTTATGCTGCTTCAGTGACCTTTACGCTGCTTCAGTGACTGTAGTTTTGTTACATCCCTTACTGGACTTCAATGCTTGCCATCAATAGGCTTGATAACTGTTTTGCTAATTCTATTATGGAATATTAGGTAGTCTTTCCAGAAGCTTAAGCTTTGGTATATGTTGTTAAAATAATTTTATTTAGTCACTTTCTCTTCTGTGATAATTACACATTTCAGATGAGATACAGTTTTGTTTATAGGCTCATATAGGTAGATGCCTATACTTCCTGACTTCTATACTTCTTCATTTTGATGCCTATACTTCTTCATTTTGTCCAAATCATAATGATAAATTTAACGTAAGGTTTTAATGAGCACTCATAGCAAGGGTAGAATTACTAACAACCAGCCCTATTGTTAGTTGTCTGTATAAGTTTTTCAGAATGTAGTTAGCATTGTGACCAGAATTTCATCTGGAAAAGTTAACCCCTTGCTGCTTGCAGACTGGCAGCACGGGAATCACTGGGATCTCAGACCCACTGCAGTTCTACCAAGTCAGAATCTGAATTTTAACAAGATCCCTGGGTGATTTGTGTGCACCTTGAAATTTGAGACATGGTGCACTAAACCATGTAATGATATATTCTGCTGTTATGGTCCAATAAGAGATTGTGATTGTAGAGAGGGCAAATTTAGAGGGAAAATTTGTTTCAGTCTCTGTGTACAATGAGTGATAAAAATTTTACTACTCCTTCGGTAACATATTTTACTCAAACTTATCTCAAAAGTTCACGGTAGTTATCAGATAACTCAATATATTTTCAGCTCTGAAATAAAATGTGCAATAATATACATCCAATATGTTTATGAATTTAAACAACCATGGAATTGGAATGAGTGATGAGTAGAGAAGAAAGAATATACATGGGTTATAGCAGCATATATGACATTACTTCCTGCATAGAAATTTATAGATGTATGTGTCTCTAATATAGGAACATTGTTTTGCTGCTAGCCATCATATCTATAAAAACAATTACTACAAAATTATCCTAAGTAGAATTGAATTCAGAATCTTGCTTTGCTTACTACTTACTAGGGTTTATTTGGTAGCTTTGGAGGAAAAACTTAGAAGGAAGTCACCTCAGGATCTAGAAAAGAAATTTGAAAAGGAACTTAAATTTGTGAAGAGTACCATGTATCCTAAAACAGGTCCTCCTTTGGTGTGGGTGTGAGGGGAGTCTTTGGCCCAAATGGCATAACTGAACATTTCCCACTCCAGTTAAATCCTACTCTGATTATGTGAAAAGCCAGATGAGATGTCTTTCAGACACTGTTTCCACTAAAAACATTAAATATCCCAAAAAGGTCAACAAGAGAAAGAAGAAGGTATGTACATTTTCTGACTTCCAGTTGACATCCACAATTATATGCTGGTTAAAATGCCATCATGGAAAAAAGACAGAGTCAGGAGTGCAGAATTCATATCATACGACCAAATGGTACGTGTTAAGAGGTGAAATATTAAAATTGATATCTATATTCCCCCCACCCCTCAACAAAACATTTATAGCCAAAGGGCTCAGAAATGGGACACAAGAGATGAGAAGCTCCAAGCAGAGCAAGCGGGTGACTTTGTTTTGAGATTCTACAAAACACAGCGTTTTCCAATCTACAAAATTCCCATAGCTGCACTGGGGAAATGGAATACCTATTCTCTACAAAATAGAAAAATCAAGCTACACAGTGGCTCACACTGCATGGCTAATTAGTTTCTTCATCAAGACACTATTCCCTTAAAACTCTTACTCTAGAAAAAAAAAAAAAAAAAAAGGTCTATTCCTGCAAATAAAAACTTTTTCTCCCTCTCCCACAGGATTTACAGGTTTAAATATAGCTTTTCTTTTTTAGGTTTTGCCTTGGGTTCTACCTGAAAAGGGGAAAACAGAGTGTATTTCCAAAGGACTCCACAACATATAGCAGTATGAACTAAGCTGGCGAAGGGGACTGACTGTTAACTACTCTGATTTAAAAACTAAAAATGTCTACCATGTCAGAAGCACTAACCACTAATAAACACAAGAGGCTGATCTCAGATTCATAGACTTGAAATCAATAATATGGTCCAGGACGCTTTCTACCTATACACACATATGCTTAATGTTTGAGGGGTATTTTTAAACATCACAGGGACTGCAGAAGCTCACTTGTCTCAAAGGCCGTGCAAAAGACAGTCTCAAGTGCCTTCTGAATTCTGTTTGTTTTCACTTTTGAGTTTCACTAAACCACCCCTGGCTTCTTTGTACTAAACCAGGCCAGTTCTTCCTTCATGTCTACACCTTTCAAATATCTGTAGCTCACTATTCTGTCCCTCATGTAAAATACAGCATCCAGAAGGTGCAATAACATTAAAACATGAAAACTGAAGAGAAAACACTACTGGAGATATGACTGATCCTTTAGGATCTGAATTCTTTCCCCCAGTAACCATATGAACAGCGTTTAAAAATAAAGATTATAAATATTTTTAAATTCCTTCCCTAAAGGAGAAATAAAATTGTGTACTATCTTCTTACTCCGAAACAGATGGCTATATAAATACAACATACATCTCCAAATCTACAATAGCCATCTTTTTAATAAAATATAAATGTATTATTAGTGCTTGGATAATAATTTAGTGGTTGATGTCAAGAATGATGTTATAAAGTTTAAAAGTTTAATGTTTTTCTTCTTATAAAATAAATCTAGATGCAAACTCCATCAAAGTGTTCAGGAAAATATAGGGCATCACTCAATATAGAATTGACTTTTGAAGCTCTTAACATTTTCAGAGAATCATATATGGGTCACTAACCACACAGAGCTTATGAAGAGGAACACTGGGAACAATGAACCTTTGAGGAGAAAATGGAAGTATCTTTCAATGTTGCTTTAACAATTGATTCATCTATTATAAAGAGCCAAAATTTCAGCAATAATAAATTTGACAGTAACCCATTAATAACACTCCTAACTGATTTCATGAAGACCAGTTCTGTAAACCTTTCCTGTAGCTGAGAAAAGTCAATACCAAATCCTGCCTGAGAGATGCAAGGTGAATAGAGCACAGCAGTGGGATACACACATCCTGCTGTTTGTCTGTCACCGGAAAACAAACCCCAGTGCTTCCAGAAGCGTTTCACTGTCAACTTTGTATTTTTAGCAAGATTTCATTTACCTGAGGAATAAGCTGCTGGGGCAAATGTGTTATCAACTGGGCCGAAAAGTAAGTCTAAAGAACATTTACCCTTCCAAAGTCTGCCAGATGATAAACAGGATATTGGAGCTTTCTGTTACATCCTCCTTTTATCCACTCAGACTCAATAACACTAAGAAATAATTACATATGCTCTATAGTCAAACTACAGAAGGATCTTGGGCAAGATATAATGCAGCTGATAGAAAAGAGATGGAAATCAAGGATTTCTAGATGAGATGACAATGATGATGATGGCTAACTTGTTGAGCTCTTATTACATAAATTACTATAAAAATGCTTTAAAAATAGCTTCCCAATTAATCTCTACAACAACCTCATAAGAAAGGTGACTAGTATTATCTCAATTTTGCAGATGGTTACATTGAGGCACACATGAATTAAGTAACATGTCCAAGGCCACACAGAAAATAAACACAGGAGATGGGATTGATTACAGGACTCTGAATACAAAGCACAAGCTCTTGACCACTGTATTGTCTTTCGTACATGTCCCCTGGGACTTACATCATGAGAGAAGTAAACAAAAAACAACTTTATCTGCAATTCTCTCCATTTCTCTCCATTCTCTCTTATCTCTCCTGATGAAAAAAAAAAAAAAAAAGTACTTCCAAAGCTGTGCAAAATAACTGCTCACTGGTTTAAGGTTTTCTGGCCCATCTTCCCTCTCTCCCCACAAACCTACCACTCAAATTTAACATGCATTTGATTAATCTGATTCTGAATTAGTCTCATAATAAAAGTCAGGCCATAACAGAAAAACAGTTAGGAGGACAGAAAAACAGTTAGGGGGATAGAAAGCAAGACCCATTAAGAAGGAGCAGGCTTATTTGGGAAGACTCAGGTATTGGATATTGCTATGTTGAATCTTCTTCCTCTATAAATGGTTGGGTCCCCTGGATAGTGAGTTAAAAGCATGGATATAAACTGCTGACTGACCCAGTGTAAGAACTGTCAAAATGGTCGACAGAAAATAAATGAACAGCACTGAGGCCTTAACTTGGCTTTCTAAAAAGGGTCCCCTCAGAAAAACCATCTGGATTTATGGAAGCAGTATCAGGAAGAAATCTGAGAAACAGAAAGCTGTATTGATGAAGCTAGGCTTACCTCATCCAACGGAAAACTTCTTAATGTGGCATCAAATTTACACCCTCTACTATTTCTGTCAAACTCAGAGGATACTTGGGGTTTTCTGGTTGTTTCCACTGAAAACAGGGGTGGGGAGTAAAAGAAGGCCCATGGCGGGCAGCAGGAGACTGAGTTTCCCTCTCACGTTGGCTAATGAATGATAATGAACCAATTAAATAACACAATTTCTAAAGTACCTGCCAGCTCTAAGAGTCTCTGACTCTGTAAGAAGACCTCAACATGATCAGTCTTTGCTTATGAAGTAAAATAGAGAAAGGAGACACAAGTACAGTGGGTGAAATTCAAATGTTAATAATGACAAAAGCCATGGCCCAGCTTCCAATTATTTCAGCTGAATGCTGCTATCAGCAAAGAATTGATGTGAAAATCTTAGCATCTCAATTATAATACATCCATAGATAAATATATGAAAATAATATATAATATATCCATAACTCTTCCTCTCAGTGCATTTCTATTCCTTATTCCTTGCCCTTTCCCATAGGCTATTTTAGTATATCTAAAGTATTTATTACGATGTCCATATAGGAACTTGATTCATGTCATCATATGAGGAAAAACTGCTGTCTATCCCATATAAAAATCAAAGAATGCATTAAGAAGGAATGAAATTCTGATACATGATACAACATGGATGAACCTTGAAAACATGCTAAAACACGGCAGAGACAAAAGAAAAAATACATATGACTCAATTTAATCTACTATGAGGTACCTAGAATGCCAAACTCACAGACACAGAAAGTAGAATAAGATTACCAGGGGCAGGGGGAAGGGGAATGGGGAGTTACTATTTAATGAGAGCAGGGTAGGGTTTCTGTTTGGGTTGATGAAAAAGTTCTGGAAATGGATAGTGGTGATGGTTGAAAACACTGTGAATATATCTAATGCCACTGAATTATAAACTTAAAAATGGTAATAATGGCAAGATTTGTGTTATATATATTTCACCACAATAAAAAATATCAAAGCATACAATATCTCCTTCATAACTACCAAAATGAAAAAAAAAAACTTGCCACATATTTTCTCTTTGAAATATTTTTAAAAGTAGACTGTAGCTGCGTGCAGTGGCTAATGCCTGTAATCCCAGTACTTTGGAAGGCCAAAGCAGGAGGGTCACATGAGTCCAGGAGCTCAAGACAAACCTGGCCAACATAGTGAGACCCTCGGCTCAATTGAAAAAAAAAAAAAAAAACATAGTAGACTATAAGTTCCATAAGAACCAGGACTAGATCTGTTTTACTCACCACTATTACACAACAGACTCCAAAAATGTTTAACCAAAAAATGCTTTTTTAAAAGGAGAGGATTAAAAAGCACCAAACTGACTATCCATGAGAAAGTATAATGGGGCGTATTCCAGGGGAAAATACTAACACAACTATATCTAAGCTTCTTCAGGAAAATGTACTGTTTCATCCATACTTCCTTTACAGCAGGTCTTACAATGTTTTACACATAGTGGGTGGCTAATCAATATTTGCAGAATGAGAGAAATATCGTATGATTGTAAAATCAGTCACGTTATTGCTCTACTTTTTAAAAATTACTTTTCGCAAACTTACAATTCCTTCTGTCACAGGATGAAAAAAAAATCCTCACAACTCACACAAAGTAAAGGTAAAAATATGAATAGCTAAAACACAAGATTCTCAGAAAAAGAAACAGTAAACACAGGGCGCATCATCTTCCAAACAGAAAAAAAAAGTTTAAAAAAAAAGAGAGGTAAATTTGATCTATCTTTGGAAGAAAATCCAAATATTCACTCCCAACAATCAATGTCCAACCTCAACAGTAAATAGTTGAGTGAATACAGAAGCACTGCACCATTTAAAGAAATTTACTCATAGTGAACCACAACAGTTACCCATATTTCTCTCAATTAGCCTATCAACTAATCAGGCGATCTTTCTTAAATTTACTTATGTCACAAAATTATACAGAACTGGCTACATGCCAGTTCTGTATAATAGCCAACATGCAAGCTACTGATTTTTTTAACATTCACCATCTACATTTTACATAAAGTACTAAGTTAATTAAACTATACACAAGTGGAATATTTTTAAAGCAAAAAATCAAATGCTGACATCCTTAACATTCAGCACCTATATAATAATAGGTGGATCCATATAAAGTCACTAGGACTAAGTAATGTTATTAATCTCACTTTGAACACTATTAAAACATGTCCTTCAAGTTCAAACCCCCGCCACATCAAATATGTCAACTGTGTGACAATTAACAAAGGAAACAAAAATTCAGTCTCTGAAGACGTCAAGGTTTACATTCCTATCTCTCAATTTTATCTGCTTTACAAGCAGGTAAGCCTCATTGGAGTAGGCTGTCTGCTACCACGGTCCTTCATGAATGCAGGGGTTCTCCATTAGCATCCAAAATGCTAATAGTCTACTATTAGAGCTGGCACTTCACGCAGAACTGCACGAAGAATTATCACTTCTGTACATAAAAGCATAACCACTACAGGTGTAATGATGCAAAATACCAGCACACTGACCTCTGCTCAGCAGTACACACTTAAAGCAGGTGTATTTCTGTGATCCAAAAAGGAAGGAAATAGGATGAGCAGGGAGGAAGCCCCAGGTCTCTAATATATTAGAGATATTTATTCTACTCAGATCCAATCCAGCTAAATTCATGGACATCAGTTTACTCAAATGGAAAAAGTAGTCTCTCGTCCTTCACTTGCTTGACTCAGAGGGCATTCAGCCAAGCACAGCCAGGCAAAAAAAAATGTAAGATCTCTTTCAGCTGTAATAAATAAAGACTAGTTTCAGAAGGAATAAGACTCAGATATGGCAAAGAAGCAGTCGTTAAACCTTTTCCCCATCTTATCACTGCTACTGGTGTTTACAAACTACAAGCAGTAGCCTCGGGAGCCTCAAAAGACTCTCCCATGAGTAACCTCCAGTCAGTCTCTAATTTAAATACCCCCTTTATCAATCTGTGATGTTTCTGGCAGTTAAATAGAAGGAAGTGAGTAAAATGACATGCATAAAATGAATCCTTTTTAAGTTGTAAATGAGTGAGTCAGGATTCAGACTTGCCGAGATGCTCCAAATTAAAACCCCTCCTGTAATTTTAAGCATGCTCTGTCTTACCGTTTTGCTGTTGTCTCCCTCAGGCTTGATTCACCTGGAACTCTTTAACATGTCTCTAGCAATGTGTTTGCACCAGGCCAGGCTCATACAGCAACTGAATTCACATCTTTCTGCACTAGCAAGCTGAAATGGTACGGCCGTACTACAACCAAGAGAGGGGGATGCATAAGCAAGCAAAAAAAAAAAAGCCCAGAAATCCCCTAAGAGAAGCTAATCTCAGTGGAATAAGACCAAAAACTGTTGAGAAGAACTCAAAGGACATGCTAACATTCAGTATCAATAGCTTTAACAGCTCAATTATTTTCTCCAAAAAATCTAATTTTTTTTTCCAAACACGATGGACTTGCCTGTGGAGTTCCCACGAAGGCAGAGTAACCGGGCTCTGCAGCAGCATTGCAGCCAAAGTAACCGTGCATATGCTGTCAAGGCAATTCACAACACACTGTCTTTTCAGAAAGATATTGATTTGCAATGCAGGGCTGCTTCAGAAGAATACAGAATGGGAGCCAAACAGCTAATGGTGATTGCATAGGAGGAAAAACATTTAATCAAGGGGATGCACCTCATCATGCTCAATTCAATTTTTTAAGAGCACTGGAGAAAGCCAGTAAGTGTCCTGAGTGACAACCCCATTAAATAATAATCTGGGATCCTATAGAAGGCCAAGTTTCAGCCACCATCATGCATGCTGCAAAAGCTGCTAAAATGGTGTCTACGTGTATATATTTGTCATATGCAAATGGAGTATGATGAGAAGTCTAAAATAACCACGCACCAAATATGTGGTTAAAAAAAAAAAGCACAGGTGCAGCATATGCAGCATACACAGAACCAAAGTAAAAGAATGCATAGTTATGAGCTTGCAGAATTTTTGGTGGACTTAGAGCTCATACCATTCTGAAAAATAAAATACCAAAACAAGCCAGATCTCACAACCCTTAGGCAAATTGTGCCAAGTCATGCCACAAGGTGCTAGGCGGCAAAGGAAGGATGCCAGACTGCTACTCTCATAGCGACCCCTACAGGAGAGTGGTTGATCCACTCTTTTTTAAAGGAGTTCCTGTCCTCGGTACACAGAATCACAAAAGGACATAAATTAGATTAAGATACAACAATACAACTGAGAAATACCTTAGGCAAGAAATAAAAAAGGCATGAAATCTAACCTTGTAAATATTCACGTATTTTAAAAATTACAAGAGGCGGTAACTACTGTGTCAATGATAAGTGGTCGATATTCCCAAAGCTCCCCAAACTAGGGTATACAATGATGATGAGAAACCTCAGGCAAAGTGTTTTCCCTTCACATCCTAATTGGTTTAAATGAATCATCTCTTCTTTCTCCCACTTGCAAACTATCTTCACCTTCATCATTTTGAATGACACTGTGAAGATAATTCAACTTTGTTTTCTTACAACACAAAAGCTCATGTAAAATCTTTTTAAAAAGTTATTGTTCAAATACAAATATTACATACTTTCATCTTCAACAAAGTCAAAAGAGAAAGCTATCTCCTTAATATCTGAAAACTATTGAATTATATGAGCATCATTTTTGCAGAATAGACTTCAACAGGTCTTTCAAGAACCTGACTTTTTTGTGATTGGTTATCCCTCCAGCCCACAAAGACACCTTTTCCAGAACCAACAGCACTTCTTATTTGAGTCATTCAAGATTTAATCATACACCACCTCATAAAACTCTCTTGTACTGTTGGCATTTTCCCCATTTTAAGGCCCTTGATAAATCACGCCAATTGCATTTTTCAAAATTTACTTAAATACCACATAATACAATGCTAGGCATCTAGCAAATATTAAATTAACATTTAAAAAATTAATGAATTTCCCAACTCCAAATTTTAGGGCTAAAGGTTCTTCTTAGGCAATCCCCTTTCCCCTAACATTCGTACAATGTTTGTGTTCACTAAGATATCTTGTATAAAAACCAACAAACACAGTAACATTTCTCCTTTAATCTTTCATCTATTCATTCAGCAAACGTGCTAATGTGCCTAGCAATGTGAAGAGCCATGTGCTCTGCATTCAATGAATGCCTTAAGTGATTAGAAATAAAGCAAGTGATTATAATACACTGAAATGAGTATTTTGAGAGTGCTCTATTCAGTATAAATAATATTCCTTAGGTGGCTCAAAAAAAGACTTCACAGAGGAGGTAACGTAAAGCTGAAGCTTCCAGTACTACCCAGGAGAAGAAGGACATTTGGGGAATAGCATGAAGCCTGAAACTGGAAGCTGTATGAGGAAATAACCAAGCCATACTCACAGTGGTCACCACTGCGAAGGCTCAGAAGAAAGGTGGCTCAATGCCAGGGCAGAAAGGGCCCTGTAAGCCATGCTAAAAAGTTGGGAATTTTATCCTATATGAAGTTGCCATTTTATCCAATAGAAAAGCCCTACAGGACTAGAGGCAGAAGAGTGGCTGGATGAGATTTTTCATCTTACGACAGGGTAATGGTGTAGAAATGGATTGGAGAGGTGAAGGAAGGGAAGTGGGGAGGCCACTTGGGAAGCTAAGCTAGTGTTTCAGACAAGGCCCTGAACTAAAGCCATGAAAATGTGGGTGGAAAAACAACAGAGGTAAGAGGCATTCACCATGGGTTACCTGCTGAGTGACTGGACATGAAGTCTATGGAAAGGGAAAATCTATACTGAATTCTCTAGTATAACTAGGTAAAAGGCTGGTTCATAAAGTAAACCAGTGAACACAGGAAGAATACAAGCTTGAGGAAAAGAGGAAACTATTATAAACTCAATTTTTTACACATTGAGTTTTAGGTATCTCTGAACATCCAAGTGGACATGTTGCACAAGCAGCTGTCTAAGGGTCTGGAGCTCAGATGATAGATCAAAAGTTTGCTTATATGCCTAGGTCAGGGTTTCCTAGAAACAGAGCTGGGCCCAGATCTTACAATTTATTGGGGGCAGTGCCCTCAGTGAAAAGAAATGGGGAGGCAGGACAGGGAGGGGAAAAGCCAAGGAAGAATGTGGCCTCAGACAAAAACTACACCCAGCATTAGTCTCCCCTGAAGCAAGAGGGCCAGGCTTTTGTATCCCTGGGCTGATCAGTCACTGACTGAGACCTGGACGGGAAGGACTTCTGTTCACCCTAGGCACCCACTGACCAAGTGGATCTGAGCACAACACTCATCCAACTATGGTTCAGTCACAATGGACAATTTTTCTTTTCCTCAAAGCTGGTTTCTCAGGAATGTTTCTGTTTGCTGTTCTCTCTGCCTAGAATGTTCTTCCCAGATAACCCCTTGGCTGACTTGTTCCCATTACTCAGTTGGACCTCAGGTATTGCCTCTTCAGAGTCCTTCTCTGGCTTTCCTCTGCTGTTGCTCCTCCCTCCCCTATCACATTACACTGTTTTTGTTCATTAATTTACTTTGTTTGTCTTCCTTCCCCACTAGAATGTAAACTGCTTAAGAGCATGGACTTCTCGTTTGTTCTCCTGTGTTTCCCCAGCCCCTAGGACAGCACTCAGTACTTGCTGAATAAATAAACAGTAAGAAGAGTTGCTGATGACAGAAGTTCAAACAAATTCTGTGGACATATGTAGAGTGGAAATGGATGGGTAGCTTGAGGAATGGGTAGGGGAAAATAATAGTCTCAACAAGCATGTAGACACCAAGTCTGACTATAAAGCAGAAGTAAAGAGAGCAGGGAGAGCGCAAAGCTGCAGGAAATTAATCATTATGTCATACAGGATTCACAATCTATGGTGTTAAGAATATCTTTATTAGAGGCCATTGAGATGTCTGAAACTATGCCATAAAAGAACAACAGTAGAGGTTAAAATAAAAATTATAGCTTCAAAGAGAAGAGACAAAAAGGCTTGTAAAAACAATCTCAGTGGACAGAGAGAAAAACAAGACTAACATCTACTAGGTCATTTTTGTGAGTAAACAAAAATCGATCCTTTGAAATGCCTGTCTTTATATGAGACTTTTTTAAATTCTAAAAAGTAGTATGCACTTCCCTGACTTTTAAAAGAGATTATAATAAACACAATCTAATCTTCAACTGATGATGGGGCCAATTATAAACATCAGCAGCAGCCCTCGGGGTTTAACAGTAGGTATACAGGGCCAACTGGCTCCTAATCTCAATAATCTGACATCTAAGTGTTCTTCTGCTTCATTTTTATGATTCATTCTCTTTTTAGCATCAAAATCGACTTATTATGGCCCTATATGTGCCTCTTCCTTCTAATATCACCACACTCTCCTCAGTCTTCTTGCTACAGGCTTCCTCAGCCATCCCCGTATTGGGCAACTAGATAATCAGGCTTATTAGAAGAGGGTGTGAATGGCTCGAGTCAACAGGTGGGTTCAAAGCAGAACCATGAACTTTCTCCTGAGTGGAAAACATGTAGGCCTTACTCCACAGGCTCTGCAGTACTCAGAAACCCTTGTTTCATGTCAGCCTTCGTGGAGCTATCTCAGACACAAGAGGCTGCCAGATGACTGATCTTCACATAAATAGGGTCTGAAGGACAGGTGGGGCCAAACAATTTTTTAAAACCTGGAAAAAAGAACTGAAGAAAGGGATAGAGAATTACTTTTTTTCTATCTTTATCTTTTTTTTTCCTTTTCTACCAAAAGCCTGTGAAGGGAAAACACTTTTTTTTAACAGAACAAGGAAAAAGAAACACTAAGAAAATTTTAAATATGAGGGAAGAAAAGAGTACTTTATATATACGAATCTAACTATAATAATCAGCTACTTTATGAATTAGCTTCATTAAAACTTTTAAGTCTAAAAGAAAGGAAAAAATTATAAATTTATTTTCAAAAGTAATAAAGAAAACAGAAATTTTCCAAAAATAAGTTGCTTTTCAAATGATTATAATTCCATATAACCCTAGCAAATACTTTCTCTTTTAAAATAGATTATATTTAGTAATATATTAGTAATCTATTTTATGTTGTAAATTTTTATGGTAAAATTTCATGTTATTGATTTTTAAATGTTCATTTTGTTTTAGTAAGCCTAAACCCCAACCTTTTTGTGAACCCTAAAAACTTTATGACTTAATTCTCTTCTGATGTCACTCACTACTTACAATCTCATATATTTGAAGAAATGTCACTTATCTAAAATACTTTCCCAAAACACCGTGAAATTCTGGAGGAATCTGTTAAACTGAATGTTTAACAGCCATGTCTTAACCACAATACCAAACCTATCCATATGTCATGCACGACATTGCATGGCAATGTTGAGATTTTCCTCCTAATATTATACAACTTTGAGTGTTTTCTTGATTCTGTAGGGGAAAAAAGAACTAACTTTATCAATAAACATAGGTGATTCTATCACAACCCAATAAATCTGTTCCCAGCAAAACTTTACATTCTGTTAAATTACACCCTAAAAACCAAAGGACTTATGTGGAAAATGATATTGAGGAAGACCATTCAAAACCTACACATCCAGAACACTAATAAAAACAACACAATTCTAATAAACACACATACATGCCACATTTTCTTCATCTCTGCATTCCCTACATTGCTGATACAATTTTGCATACAATGGATGCTGTAACATGTCTTGGCTAAAGATAAATCCTGTGCTGATCCCTATGAACTGCAGAAAATATGTTCAGGTGAAAAAATGTTTTGTTATGAACTTCATCTAAGTTGGAAATTAAAATCCAAAGCTAGAGCTATAGCAAGGGAACTTCAGATTGTTAAGGTTGTCAAGAAGCAGCGTGTAAAGTTGACAATTATGACTCTATAACAGAAACTGGTAGATGCAGACTATCATTTTTTAAAAATCTTATTTTTGCCTGGCTTTCAAAAAAATCTGATTTCAGGGCACTGCTTTCTTTTTGAGACAGGGTCTCACTCTGTTGCCCAGGCTGAAGTACAGCGGCACGATTATGAGTTACAGCAGGCTGGACCTCCCAGCTTCAAGTGATCCTCCCACTCAGCACCTCAGCCTGCTGAGTAATTGGAACCACAGGTGCATGCCACCATGCCCAGCTAATTTTTGTATTTTTTGTAGAGACAGGATTTTGCCATGTTGCCCAGGTTGGTCTCAAACTCTTGGGCTCAAGTGATCCACCCTCCTTGGCCTCCCAAAGAGCAGGGATTACAGGTGTGCACCACCGCTGCTGGCTCAGCCTACTCCTTTTTATGAAATAAATGTCCTCATCCCTACATGTTGTGTTTCCTGGTTGTATGCCCTCAATTATCCTGGATAATAATTTGTCTGCATCTCAGTTGTTGCTTCCCCATTAGTTCAATTACAAACCCTTGTTTCAAATTATCCTGGATAATAATTTGTCTGCATCTCAGTTTTTGCTTCCTCATTAATTCAATTACAAACCCTTGTTTCAAAAGACTTGTGTCTGCATTAAAACAGATACTGGTTTTCTATATATCAACCATACATATGGTTTCTACATACATATACATGCACATTTATGTATTTATTACTTATTTATTCAGGTGATATCTAAAATGCATGGGCATTCACATGGGCACGGCACAGTTTTTCATTTTTACACCCTAAGCAGAAACACAACTGGAGTTCTGATGTGGTGTCATGCCTCAAGTGTGTAGCATGGAGAAGATCCGGATGTAAAAGTGATTTTATTATGACCACATCCACGAAATAACAGTATCACAGAGTTCCAAATGTATAGCACTAATATGATCTGAGAAATGTGAATTAAATTATAAGACCTCAATGGCAGACATAAAATCCTTGGGATAGCATCAAGAAGAAAGGCAAATGGCACTGAGAAAAGATGTGAGGATTTTCTCTCTTCCTGGTGTCAAAATGCCATTGAGGACAGAGGCTACAATCCCATGACTATCAAAAAACTGCTTAAGAAGCTAAGTCTCATTTGCAAAAACTTACCTAAGTTTCTGAATAAACTCTGAAAAGGAAAAAAAAAACAAAACAACAACAACAACAGAAAACATATTTTCTAGTTGGGGGTTATAAGTGAGTTTTATTGCTTTTAGGGACTTTGTCCCAGCTTTCCAAATTTTCACTTAGTTTGAAAAATTAGGAAAATCTCAAAAGGAAGAAAACCCTCTTAAAAGAGCCTGCCAAATAAACATACAGAAATAATTTTTAATTACATTTGACAGTTTTAAATCTAGAAAACCTTTGCCACTTATGTAGTACATACTTGAAAATACTCAAATAAAAAGTATTTGTTAAGTAATATACTTCTTTTGTCTCACTCTACATACACCTAAGAAATAAAATAGGAAGCAGGCCCTTGGGAAAGAATGGTTAACAGTGCTGGATATTCGACAATAAATATTTAGGACAAATAAAGGATAACCAACTGAAGACATTAAAAACTGAAATTAAAATGTGTATCCCTATATAATTTAATTGACTTTCCTGTGGCATTGTTTTAGTATTTGCCTTTTCAAGCTAATACTGATATAATTTAGATCATTCCAAAACCATGTGTGCATCGCTCTTCAATAACAGAAAGAAAACCAAAAAAAGGCTTTTGGCTAAAGAAGATTCATCATAGATCATTTAACAGTTCAGTATCACTGGGTGAGAGTGAAATCAGGTTCACTACAAACATGCATAAGTCACAGGGATATTAACAACTCTGAAATGCTTTAACCTACTCTGCAACCCTTTTGTATTCGGTAACATAGTGACAACAGCAGCACCCAAATATTAGTCGAATCCTTTTTGCCATCCCTTGTGGAATGCTTTCCCTGAGTGTTTATTAAAATAGGATAGGTTCCTGTTTCTTAAAAAGAAGTAGAACCGAATTGTTTGGAATGGCCAGCACATTTTTTCTCTCTTCCTGGGGAATGGTTTTTCCACCCCACGCCATCCACTGCAGTCTAAGGAGGGCTGCACCTTATCCAGGAACAGACAAGGAATCCAACTTAGAGTAATCCTTCCCTGGGACTTTTTCAGCCAGAGCTCAGTTGCGCCCCTCCCCTCCACCCTTGATGGTAGCAAAGCAGAGAAAGCATTCGCTTAGAGGCAGCCAGTGGCAGTGTCTCTCGACCTGTAAAGAAGCTCAACTCAGACCCTAAAGCCATCAGGTAGTAAAATTAGGAGATGAGGGTAGCATAGAGACAGACAGCACTGATAACATGGAGATAGCACCCGCTGAGGTGCTAGCTCTGCTGGATGCCTGACTTTCTAAAGCGCAGTTGTTCAGCTCTTGTTTCTATCCTGCAATACTTCTCTTCCCAATAAATCTATTTCTTTCTTTAGCCACTTCAAGTTGATTTTCAGCTCCTTATAATCAAGAGTGCTGGTACCCATGGGGATACATGTACAGAAAGGATACGGAGCTACTGTGAACCACTAACACCAGAAGTAGAATAAATAACTTAATAGATGTCTTGTTTTAAACTCTAGGAAAGGGAGATACAAGATAGATGTTAACTTATATAATGGTAGGAAAGGATGGGTTTAATAGCAGTCAAGGTTTTTACAAAGCTACTTCACACACTTAACTATATAAAAATTTGTACTAAATTGAGTATTATTATATTAACATTTTTATTCTTATAATTTATAGAGGAAAGCCATAGAACATTAGCTACTAATCAGTTATCTGAACTTGCAGGAAGCCTGAATGCTTTGACCAATTAGTTTAACCAGACATCCAAGTTGCTGTGGTAACACATGCTCAAATTTTAGGCACAGTACCTAATGGGAAATAAACTGACTATCCTTATAGATACCACCTACAAATTGTTGGTAAATACTGCCACACATAAGTAGCTAAGAAATGTGATAAAAAATGTGAAACTGAAAGTGGTTTGTTGCACCGATCCTGACCTTTAAAGGCTTCTGGCCACGAAGGAAAAAGGGTTATTAAAAATTAAACAAGTAATATCGAGGGGATTTTGGAAAAAGCCAAAGAAGTACACTAGGGATTTGTGGAATATGTAAAGAAAGTGCTAAGAAGACATTGTAAAGTAAACTACATTTTCTGTATTTCACGACTGAAAGATTTTTTCTGTGTTCTATTCATTTACCAACCATTTATTGAGTTTTGTATTAATCACTACAGGAGGTATAAAGATGAACGAGACACAACTGCTGCTCTCACAGATACTTATACAAATAAATATAATATGAAAATAATTGTCATAGAAAAGGTAAGAGAAAAATACTATGGGAGTTCAAGTTGAGAAGGCCTCAGAATGACAGATCAGGCAAAATTGGCAGATTTTCACTTTAGGTAATCAAATTCTGAATACTAGAGTCACAGAGAATTCAATAAGTAAAATGCTGGGGGTTGGAGATGCATGTATATCCACAGACTGGCAATGATCACTCTTAGCACCAGAGTTATTATCTATATATGGATGTAATTTGATAATTCAACAAAGAACTTTTGTAATATCATAGGAGCACAGCCTAGAAGATTCGAATGATTTCTGTAATTTGAACCTTTATGAATAAAGGTTCTTTTCTCCCCTCTGGTAGAAGATTATCTGGATGGACTCCAGGGTCTCCAAGTACTCTGCCAAGTACTCCAAGTACGGTTTGAACATATGGTTCAAAGATGTGTTTTATCAGGCCAGGCACAGTGGCTCACGCCTGTAATCCTAGCACTTTGGGAGGCCAAGGTGGCCGGACTGCGAGGTCAAGAGATTGAGATCATCCTGGCCAACATGGTGAAACCCCGTCTCTACTAAAAATACAAAAATCAGCTGGGCATGGTGGTGCATGCCTAAAATCCCAGCTACTCGGGAGGCTAAGGCAGGAGAATCACTTGAACCAGGGAGTCGGTGGTGGCAGTGAGCCAAGATCACACCACTGCACTCCAGCCTGGCGACAGAGACATATTTTTTCCTAGTTGCCCTGGACACAGACAACCAAACTTTTTTTCCACCTATGTTAAGAAAAATATAGCTTTGGGGACTGTTACAACAGCTAGTCACCAGGAACTTGGAGACCATCTTTACACCTCTCTCTTCCTCTCCCCAATATTTATTCTAATTTAGGGAAAGTAAAGTTTTACTTATCACAATACAAAGGCCTAATAGATTAACTTAGTTTTATCAGTCCTCCCCTGAAGCACATGATTCCCTCAATAACCACTGTTTCTCTTAATCATTTAGGAAAGATTCAGCTCACATGAAACACAGAGGTACCTTCTGCCTGACCCCATCATAACTAGTTCCGTCTAAGGGCACCTAGTAATTGCAGCCCTGGCAGGACCACCTGAATGCAAGGAATCACAATGCAGCATGGATCCACCTTGTTTCAGAGATTTCCTGCCACACCCACCAAGGTTATTTAACTCAGAACTCTAAGGTTTAAAACAGGTTTGATAAGGAGGAAAGAGAAAACATCACAGATGAAGCCATATAAACAGGTGCACTGGGGCACTAACTTCAACATAAAGTCAGATGCAGAACAGCTAGATTAAGAATAATGTAAACTCAAGGATCAGACAAATCTGTGTTCCTGATCCAAGCCTTGGGCAAGGTACCAATCTTATGGGAATACTTAGAATAGTTCCTATACCTAAGAGGGTTGCTGCAGGGCTAAATGATGTACAAACTACTTAGAATAGTGTTCAGTAAAGCAAGCGTTATTGCAATCCAGTGATAAGCATAATGTATGTTTAAGTGTGATCAGGCACTAAGCTGTTAGGAACCACAGACTCCCATCCTGGGTCCTGTACTTCTGCAGGAGGGCTTGTACTTGTCTTGGTTCTCTTGGTTCAGATCAGTCTGGCACTTTCTTCTGTATCAGCCATGGGCTGTCAGACTCATTTTCTCAGTCACTCCTTAATTTTATCAGTTCCTGTCAATTCTTCTCCAGTATTCCTGTTTCTATTGACTTTGCAATTTGCTTTTGCACTATTCCATAAAAATCAAACACTTTTTAAACAGCCATAGGGAGCTACCCTACAGGCCTTCTTGATATTTCCTTTGACTAAAGGTGAAAGGAGCTATTTATAGTTTATAAAAGTTTTAATGAAAAAGTTCAGTGCACAGTCTCTTCTCTCTCTGTGGATTTTCTTCCTTTCTCACTGTCATATTTCCCCTTGTAACTACAAAGCTGCAGGGTAAGAGTCGAGAGAGAACTGAGAACCCATGGTTACATAATGAAGTATCAAAGATAAGGTTTACCAAACAGATTAGAAAGGTGACAAGAGTTTTTACCACCATCAGCACACACGAGGAAAATTTAGTGAGTAGCAAATGCTAGAAGAGGGGAACACTCATCAAGAGTCAATTTTGCCAAAGCAAGCAAATAACTCTTCAAATAAAGAGTTGGCAGGCATACATTTCCAAAAAAATTGGGGGTGTTGTAAGATAATTGATGCCAATCAGGAAGCAGGAATCTGTCTTCTGAAATTTTACTAAACAAAATGTCCTATCTGATCAAAGGAGGAATAAAATTATGAGGCATCATCTTTCAAAATATACACAAATAATTGGTTTTCTTATTAAAATTTGGTGACTCACCCATGATGCATATTATCTATGTATGAAGAATCTATCCACATGTTAAATACCAGTCAGAAAAACCCACCACCATTCTGCTCTTCCTTTCATTTACAAAAGTATTTTCCCTCTTTGTGGAGTAGCATAAAGTGTCACAACCAAGAAACTGTATTTTAATAGTAGATAATGTAATTTATAGGTAGAATTCATTATTGTGCTATCATTGCAATTAGCAGGAAATTAAAATGAGCATGTAAACACTTATAAAATGTAGTACCAGAACAGTATAATTTTAAGTAGAATTAATCCTACCTATCAGAACAAACATCAAGTAAAACATCAAGTAGCACGAATCAGCTAATTTTCTTTAAGTACTTTTTTTAATTGACATACCCATGCAACACTTTTTTTCTTTTTCTTTTTTTTTTTTTTTTTTTTTTGAGACAGAGTCTTGCTCTGTCACCCAGGCTGGAGTGCAGTGACGTGATCTCAGCTCACTGAAAGCTCCACCTCCTGGGTTCACACCATTCTCCTGCCTCAGCCTCCCAAGTAGCTGGGAATACAGGCGCCCGCCACCATGCCCAGCTAATTTTTTGTATTTTTCGTAGAGATGGGGTTTCACCGTGTTAGCCAGGATGGTCTGGATCTCCTGACCTCGTGATCCACCTGCCTCAGCCTCCCAAAGTGCTGGGATTACAGGTGTGAGCCACCGTGCCCGGCCGCAACACTTTTTTTTAAGTGGAAGGAATTACTTGGAAAAGTTATTTGATTCTTTTAATACTATTTAGATATTCTACAAGAATTAGAGTAACAGAACTTTCACCAATTTTGTTTCAGACATATAATTGTGTAAAATTTTTATTCTGAAATTACTTCTAGGTTTATAGAAAATCTCACATGGGGCAGTTCAGCTCCATATAATTCAAAGGCACTATGTAACATCCGAAAAGCTAAAGGAAGAAAGCACATTGTAACTGCACTGAAATCTGATGCTTTATAAAACGATTTTTTAGGCCAAATACAGTAGCTCGCACCTGTAATCCCAACACTTTGGGAGGCCAAGGCAGGAGAACTGCTTGAGGACAGGAGTTCAAGACAAGGCTGGCCAACACAGCAAGACCCCATCTCTACAAAAATAAAGATTTTTTTTTAGCACCACAATGCAAAAAGTGCTATCTCGTTCAATGACAATTTTCTCATGTTATAGCGACTGTAGATATTAAAGCTAAGAATTTCCTCAGGTAAGTCATGTCTTCTTTTTAACAAAGAAGAAAAGGGGAATAAAACTATCATTATTTCCAAAGTTGTCTCCTACTTTAAATCTACCTTGATTCTGAACCGCTCTCAGCTGCTACTCCATTTCTCTGTTCCTCTTCATATCAAAATTCCTCAAAAAGAGGAGTTGATCCCAACTGGTTCCACTTCCTCAGTCCATTCATTCTTAAACCCATTTTAATCAGATTTCTATCCTCTCCACTCCACTAAAGGTCAGCAAGCCTCCTCAATGGCAATACCAGTGGGCAATTCCCAGACCTCATCTGAACCTCTCAGCAGCATCTGACACAATTGATCACCTCCTCCTTCCTGAAACTCTTTCTTCACTTTGACTCCAAATACCACACTCCCGTAGTTTTCCTCCTACTTCACTGGCTCTGCCTCCTCAGAATCCTTTGCTGGACACTCTTCCCTTCCCAACCTATAAAGACATGTGTCCCAGGATGGGGACCTTGGGCCTCTTGCCATCTCTGCCTACACTCCCTCTTTAGGTGACTCCTATCCTAACCTCTTCCTTAAGTACCGTCAGTAAACTGAGGGTTCCCAATTTTGTATTTCCAGGTCCTACCTTTCCCTCATCCTCAGACTCACATATCCAAATACTTATGTGACAAATCCTTTAGGATACATAATAGGAATCTTAAACTTAAGCTGTACAAAACGGCTGAGGTGGGCGGATCACTTGAGGCCAGGAGTTTGACAGAAGCCTGGCCAAAATACAAAAATTAACCAGGCATGGTGGTGCATGCCTGTAATCCCAGCTACTCGGGAGGCTGAGGCACAAGAATCACTTGAACCCGGGAGGCGGAGGTTGCAGTGAGCTGAGGTTGTGCCATTGCAATCCAGCCTGGGCAACAGAGCCAGTCTCTGTCTCAAAAAAAAAAAAAAAAAAAAAAGAAGAAGAAGTACAAAACCAAATCAAATTCCTGATTCCATAACCTCTCAAAAACCTTGCTCCTCCTTCCGATATTCCCCCATCTCAATATGAGCCTACCTTTACATCACTCAAATTTCTCTAGTGAAAAACTTCAGAATCCTTGATTGTACTCTGCTACCCTATATCCACTCCAACAAGCTAGTTCCCTTGGCTCTCCTTTCAGAACATACTTAAATCCCACTACTTCTCAGCAGCTCCACTGCTCCCATCCTAATACAGGCGACCAACACATCTCACCTAGGTGATGACCACAGCCTCCTAACTGGTCTTTCTGCAGCTATTCTCACATTCTTCTTCCCGATGCAGTCTACATTCTACACAACAGGCAGGGTTTTTTTAATTATCACCATCCTGCTCAAAAGCTCAAAGAGCTTCTGACTTGGAGTAAATTGCTACACCCCAACCAGGACCAGCAAGGTACGACCTCTCTGACCTTCTCCCCCAGACCCTTTGCTCATTCCACTCCAGCCACCATGAACTCCTTCCTGTTCCTTAAGAACACTAAGCCGTCTATACTCAAGGCTGTTGCACCCTCCTCCTGAAACATTCTTCCTCCAGATATTCCCATGGTTTGCTCCCTCCCTTCTTTCACATCTACACTCACATGTCACCTTCTCAGAAATGCCTTCCCTGACCATTTATCAACACCCACCTCCCATCCGTTTTTCCCCTTTCCTTGCTTTTGTTTATATTCCTCAGAAATTCAGCCTGGTCATATCCGTTTATTATCTGCCTGCCATCCCCACTTGTGTAAAAGTTCCTTGGTGGCAGAGATTTGTCTATTTTGCTCAATCTCAAATCTCCAGGGCCAAGAACTGTGCCTGGTAAATAGTAGACGCTCAGTAAACATTTGTTGAATGAATATATGAGTAAGTCATTTCTATACTCTTACCCATTGTTACCAAGGTAGAGAATATACATTTCAATTGTTTATTACTTTTAATACACATGGTATGACGCCAAAGAAACCATTAAATATTTTTCAAGTTATATTTTTAGGACCTCATAATGTCAGGGGATTTCAAGGCAGAAAGAGCAGCCTGAGCAAATAAATGAGGTAGAAAATATTACAACATATTTAAAGGAATACAGAAAATTCCCTACAAGAAATCTGGGGAAAGTGGGGGACAAGGAAGGAGCACAGGTGAAAGATGAAGTGTAGATAAGGCTGAAAGCAAGACAAAGGGCAATCATGAAGGGTCCTGTGTGCCCGCCTGAGTTGAGTGTCATCTTGTAGGCAACAGGGTGTCATAAGCAGGGAAACAGCAATCAAAATTTCTTTTGGGAAGAATTATTCTGATCACATAAGATTATATAACTCACATATCATGTCTGGTCTTAGTTGAAGTAGCAGCTTAGCTGTTCCAGATCCACACACAGATAAGATATATAAGCATACAAGTCTTAAATGATTTTTAATCCCTTATCATTCACACCTAAAAGGCATTCATAGTTTCTTGCTCACAAACCTTCACCTGATCCATTTTCCCATGAAATATTTTCTCAGCATGTTCTCATTTGAATATTTTCAATTTTTAATCAATTAACTCTTCAGTTTAAGAACACTTACATGACAGTCCTTAATTAATGCACACAAATTCCTATGCATGCAGTTTATCAGTTAACTTATAATATTAAATGTTAATACTACATTGAATGGTAAAATATTCAAAAAGAAAATTCAATTATAGTTATTTTAATTAGTAAAAATCTGGTATCTGATTATTAAGATACCAAAATATTTTATCCAATACAAACTTCAAATTAAAGTAAAATAAAGTTCAGTTGGTCTAGACAAGGGGCATATTAAAAGTCCTGTATTTTTATGGTTAAAAAATAGGCTTGATTTCAATACCTAATATTTACTACTGTAAAGAAGTTTAATATCAAATACATATTGTCAGTTTACTACGTTTAATTTGTAATCAAACGACATTCAATTCAAGTTAAATGGGTATGTTTTAACTGTTTTTTTAAAATCCTTATTTGCCTTCTATTCCTCTTTGCTGCTTCTGTTTCCTTAGTATTTATAATGTAATCATTACTTTTTCCTCTTAACCTTAGAGATTACTCTTAACATCTTATTTGATAGTTATTCCATCTTTGACTGCTTCACAAAATCATATAATGAACACCTACACATCAGGCACAGTGCCAAGCCCTAAGGCACAAAGATAATAAAAGGTAAGCTCTCTACCCTGAAGCAGACTCTAATCACAGTCATCCAGTCTTCCTTCCTTCCCACCTCTTGAACATCCACATGTCATGGACATCCCTTTAATTACATGACCTACCTAAATCTTCTTTTATCTCCTCACCCAAATGACTTAATTCCAACAACATACTTGTGCCTCCTCAATGATATTTCTTACACTAGCCTCTTTATACTATAAGTCCATTTTAAAAAGCAGCAAAATAAATCAAGGACCAAGGTGTCATATTAGAGCCATCTTAAACAACTTCTCTGCTCAGCAAGTTTACAATTAATACCAAATCAGAGAGGATCTAGAAACAGGATCATTACGATGAATGAACAAAGAATATAAATACACAGAGCAACCATTTCCAACAAAGGCAGAAGGCCCAATATCAATGACTAAGTAGATGTTCTGTCGCTGGGACTTAGGAGCACAGAATCCACTGAGGCCAATGAATTGGATCTAGGGACAAAGAAGCAACACAGCACAGTTACTCGGTAGTACAAATTAGTTCAATTTCTGCTCTCCCGCTCTACTTACCTGAACAAGCTTTTCCTGGAAGTTCCCAACAACACAGCCGTGCATGTGTGGTATTACAAGGAAAGGCAAAAACAAAGATGCCTGCATAAGCTATTCATTATAAAGACACAAGGTATGGAAAAATGAGGAAACCTCTGATGATGTCTACCCCCAGCTGGTAGAACTTACCTAGTAGGTGCTAACCTTGGCAAGCTTCATTCAAATCTGTGTTGGTATCACAGACTAGGGTCTATTCCAGATCAAGACTCATCATCAGCTTATACAACTTCTGTTCAATAAATATTTAAGTATGAAGGAGAGCAGATGTTTTAAATTTTAAAAATGACCTTTAGACATCAATCTTAATATTTACATTCCACAGAAGTATTCTCATTTTAAATACCTTTGGGAAGAATACACAGAGCAACCACTTCAAAATGGAAAAAAGCAAATATGTATAAAATCTGAAATACTTCCTATAACAGTATGAAAAAGAAACCAGGCTTTTCACACACAGGCTAAAAGACGGATTCTTTCATTCATGTGCTTCACATTTTTGTGCACCTTTTCCTAGTACATCCCACAAGCTACAGAACCCTACTGGCAAAAAGCTTTACTCCAGGGAGAATTTTTTTTTTTTTTACTTGATGGAAGAAATGGCCTGAATTTAAAGCAGTTTTTCTTTCTCATCAGACCAATGCAGTAACTTCTATGCAAAATATAATGAAAAGTGGAAGTCACCTGCCCCAGCCTCCCAAAGTGCTGGGATTACAGGCATGAACCACCACACCCAACCACAATAGCCCATTTTAGCAAATATAACAATATGTGTCATTTACTTTAAAAGTATCCTTTGGAAATAAATTATATATATAATTTATTCCTCCCCTAGTCCTGGGGCAGGAAGCAGAGAACAGGAAGACCCCATCATGGCCCGCCAGCATAGTCTCCACCAGGCAGAGCCCTCATGCATTCTTCTTAGTCCATATCATTAGTCTGCTGACAGCTGAAAAAACAAACGTGGCATGTAAATGGTTTTTGGCTCTTAAGGGATATCGGTGTACAGTATGTCAAAGCAAAGGTTGTATAGAAGTCAATATATAAAAATTAAAAACTCCTACAAGACTGATTTTCCAGAGTGGCTTATAAGCTAATTCTTTAATTAACACAAAAACAGAATTTCAAAAATATTTGGGCAACTGTGATATCATTTTGAAATAAACACACAGCCATCCAAAGTTGATAATACTTGAAAAATAAGTCCTTGGAATATAGAAATGTAATGGAATATCTGGGTATATCTGTCTGAAAACCAAACCAATATAACACACAAAAAATACGCTCTTGTCTTACAGAAAAAGAAGCATTCGATGGACCAACGATATAAGAAGAAAAGCTAGAAATACTGGTTGTCAAATATTTGCAATCAAATGTATCTTTAAAACAATTACAGATGCAAAACATATGTATTTCGCAGATTGGAGCACACCATATTTCATTTTCCTTTATTTTTTATACCTTTAAGTATAGCACACACTTGGAATAGGACAACTTATGTATGTAGAAAATGCACCTTTCCTCTCAAACTCACTCATCTGAAATAAAACTGCTTATCTCCTGCCCCACAACAATTATGAAATCAACTCCTTCACAGCACTCCCAAACCTCACTTATGGTAATTACATCCTCCAAATTATTCAGACTCAATGCCTTGATAACTCTAATTTGATATCCAATCTGTTAGCAAATACTTCTGGCTCTACCTTCAAAATGAATTAAAAATCCAACCATTTCTCAATGTCTCCAGTGCAGCCACCGTAGTTGGATGGTGGTGATGTACCATCATCTTGCAGATTATTGTAGGTGCCTCTCACTGGTTTCCTGCTACTCCCTACTGTCTTCTTCTCAGAATAGCTGAAAAAGTCATCTTTTTGAAATGGAAGCAACGTCACTTCACTCTGCCTGAAAACTTCCAATGGTTTCCCATCTCATTCAGAATAAAGGCCAATTTTACAGCAGCCTACAAGGCCCTGTGCAATGTAGCTCGTGTTTCTGAAAAATTCCTACTACTCTCCCCTTACTATTCTCCATCCACAACAGCCTCCTTGCCATTCTCTCTGCCTGAAACACCATTCTCCTGTGCAGCCTCATGGGTCACTTCTTCATGGCCTCCAAGTCTATGCCTACAAGTCATCTTTTCTGTGAAGTCTTCCCTGACCATCCTATTTAAAATGACAAACTTTCCTATACCCCCCTTCTCTTTATTTTTTTTCCACAGTACTTACCACCCTCATACAAACAAATTTTACCTGTGTCTTTATTATCTGCCTCCCTTCACGGCTAAGTTCCGGGAGGGCAGGACTGTTTTGTCCACAGTTGTACCCTCATGGTCCACAACTGAGATAAACACACACTAGATGTTCAATAAATATTTGTGAATAAAATTATTTCTCTCCATAAAACACCAAATTGTGTGACCAAACAGGGAGTATATGTTAATGTTTTTATAAAATATTTTCAAGTAATTATTACTATGAGTAAGAATAAAATAGAAAATCACAATACAAAATAAATAGAGGACTTAAGTCTGAACTGAGCACCAAGGGAATGGTGGTCACATTTCTAATTAAACTTATCATTGTTTATTCTGTTTTACTTTAATTTGCTTACTTTCTAAAGTAATCTTTGTCAAAATGAATGCTTAGAAGTATAATTGTTTTCATTCTTATTCTTTTGCTCTTACATATCATGATACAAAAATTATTTTATTACAACCATGGGGAAAATTCTCTACATTTGCTATATATCAATTTTTAAATTCATAATAATTTTATTTTAAATTAATGTATGTTGCGGCTCATAAAATGACACACAGCTAAAGGGTTCCTCATTCTGTAGCTAGAGAACGCCATCTGGCTCAATATGAGAGAAACCACACTATTATACTGAATACTGTTATAAACACAATCTTTCGTGCTTCTAAAGAAACTTCCTGCTAAGATGAAATAAATTAAGTTGTGGTATTTTATTTAATAATACTTTATAAACAAAAAGTACACAGACATAGTGAAAGAAGTTAATAGTAAAATATTGACCATAATAATGGGTATTTCTAAGTATTTTACAGGTATTGCCATATTTAAACTGTACAAGAATCCCTTGAGGAAGGCAGGTACTATTTTTAATCCCATTTTACAGATGTGAAACCTGGGGCACTAAAAAGGCCACCAAATGGAATCCTAGTAAAGCTACAATTCAAATATAGGCAGCCTGGCCCCAGAACCCACACACTTAAGTGTCACACAACCTGCCTCTTCTAAGACAGCAAACATCAAGCAAACTTACCTAATATACCTTTCAGAGCATTAAAAGTAGATTGAGGTCTGCTTTATAGGGTTTACAGTCTAAAGAAGTGAACCCTCAATTTTTGATGGTATACTACTTTATCAAAAATTATGCCTAGTACAAATGATCAGATTTTTCTAATGCAGTTTGTTAAGTACACAGAAGAAAATATTTACTTTTTAAAAAGGTAAGCAAAAACTAAAATGTAAGTTTGAGCATCAATATAGTAGTTAGTCTTCGTAATGTAAGTCTCTTACGTTGATCATGAAGCCTGAAATTCTATAAAAATTTTCTCAAAGCCCAATAATTTCCCTTCCTGTTATATCATCAAAGAATGATTTCCAAATAATTTGCAGTTTATTACAAACTTTCAAATTCCTCATCTATTCGGCAAACAATTATTAAGTCCTAGATGTGTTTTATGTCTTCAAAGTATTTAAGTTCCATACATTTTTTCAAATGCTATTTTGAGGTCAAAATTCCCTGGAATTATGGAAAGATATAGGATTATGGAAACTCATTTTATAAACATTAAATATAAAAGCAGTCTGTTCACAACAGTCATGTATTTCTTACCCTTCCCCAAGGAACAAATTTCTAGTCAGCAGCTAAACTAGTCTGGGCTAATGGTTTTCCCTGGGGTAGTATGAGAAGATCTAATTGTAAAAATGCCTTCGGTCTTTTTCTCCTCAAAGGAGACCAAGGGCTCACAGACTACACAGTTCAATTAAACATTTTCATTTTCATTCATTCATGCCCTTCCTCTTTTATCCCTCTCCTCCATTTTCTGCCATTCTTGCTCAATCTTAAGAGGTTCCCTACCCACACCCAACCTCCCTGAATAGCCCTTCAGTCCATACATAAAACAAAGGACCCTGGTGATAACAGATAAAAATAAAAGTATTAATAGTATCTAATCTGTACCAGATAAAAAGAAAATCATAAATAAGCTAAATTAATCATTAAAACCAGCACCATTATCTTCTTTCTATGGCTCCTGAAAGTAAACACAAATCCCTTTAAGAGCTCCACAAGTCTCTTTCCACCTCTTCAACCACATTCAGCCATATCTGCTTATTCTTGAGCACCAGAATTCAAGATACCTACAACTACAGTATTGATACTGTATTCTAACTGCCTGCTGACTTGTCTGAAAACTAAGGGTACTGACAGTGGAGGAGCGGTGGAGGACAGAGCTCAAGCTCCACAAAGGCAAGCACTGTGGGAGGGCCAGGGACTGTTCTTTCTGGTTTACTAACCACTCCAACCCAATGCTGAACACAAAGTCTCATACAGCACAGTTATTTTGCTGGGTGGGAGAGAGGAAAGGAGAGAGAAAAGGGAAGGGAGGGACTCTGAAAATTCATTATGGCTTTTGGGTGGGCAGAGTAATATAATCATATTGTAAATATTGTTTCTACATATGAACGCTGTTCCAAACTGTCTCTGAAGTCAGCACTGACTACACCAGTGGAGATTATAGTGCCTGCTCTATCAGAAATCCTGTTTTGGGACATTCTCCCACTAGGTCACTAAGTATGACAGCTTTTATTACATTACCATAATAAACTTTAAATATGTCACGGAATATCTTTTCTAGTTTACTTTTGTAATAATCTGTTAGCAGCAGTTTTTT